>NC_000010.11:50446125-50597640 GCF_000001405.40 Homo sapiens | reverse complement strand
GTGCTGCCTTTTTGTAGTTTAAATCCTCTTTCCTCCTGAACTCCTGGCAATACTGATCTGTTCTCTGCCTTTATAATTTTTTCTTTGTAAGACTATTATGTAAGTGGGATTATACAGACTTTTTGAGACTAGCTTTCACTTAGCATAATGCATTTGACATCCATCCACATTGTGTGTATCAAAGGTTTGTTCCTTTTTATTACTAACTAGTATTCTGTTGTATGGATGTGCCATGGTTTGCATATGTATTCACCCATTGCATTCCCAGCAGCAGAATATGAAAGTCCTAGTTGACCTGTATTTTTGCTGGCATTTAATATTTTCAGTTTATGCAGTTCAGCTATTCTAATAGGTGTGTAATGGTATTTCATGATGATTTTGATTTGCATTTCCCTAATGATTAATGATATTGAACATCTTTTCATGTGTTTGTTTGGCATTCATACATCTTGTGCCCATTACGATATGTGTTATGCTCATTGTCATTATCATAACCTTGTTCCAGGTGGTTATTATGCCTTTTTATATCAGCATTGTTGCTCACCTACCGCAGCATATGCCAAGGTCAAAGCACTGAGCCAGGGACTTTGTGTACCTAATCTCATTTTATCCTTAAAATCTTTGTGGAATTAGTAGTGCTTTTTATTTTTGTGGTGGAGAAAATAAAGACCCCATGTTCAAAACATACTGAGTGCCTACCATGTGCAACGAGCCAGTTGTACCCATCTGCTAGTCTGTGGGACTAGCAGTCACTGACTTTAAGCAAGTCAGTGTATGAATCAATTTCCTTTTCTGTTAAATAGGGATCTGTATTATGATATGTTCTCTCAGGGTTGTTGAGTGAGGGGTTTTAAGAGAGAATGCAGGAAACATGCTGAGCAGGAGATCTGGCTCATGATGTATTCTGAGTAAATGTTAGCAATAGCTGCTTCTGTGTTCTTCAAACACCTCATACTGACCTGAGGTGGTTTCTCTCCCTCCCTGGCCACTTTTCTAGTCAGTAACAGAAAGGTTAAATGTGCCAAATGTTTTACTTTGAGTCCATTCCAGCTCCAATGTTTATGTAAAAAATGATATCATAAAGGGTTGATCTAGTTAGCAAGGTTATTGTGCTTACAGTAGGCCAGAATGTGGAAGCTATCATATTAGTAAAAAAGAAATTGGGCTGGGCGTGGTGGCTCACGCCTGTAAGCCCAGCACTTTGGGAGGCCGAGGTGGGCAGATCACCTGAGGTCAGGAATTCAAGACCAGCTTAGCCAACATGGCGAAACCCTGTCTCTACTGAAAATACAAAAAATTAGCCAGGTGTTGTGGTGAATGCCTGTAATCCCAGCTATTCGGGAGGCTGAGGCAGGGGAATCGCTTGAACCAGGGAGGCGCAGGTTGCGGTGAGCTGAGATCGTGCCATTGCACTTCAGCCTGGGCAACAAGAGCGAAACTCTGTCTCAAAAAAAAAAAAAAAAAATCGTGATACAAGTAAGATCTTTTAAAAATTATTGAATCATCCATCTTGAATTATGTGAGGCTTTATATATGGAAGCAAGAAAATGTTTAAAATTACCTCCCTGCTATTTCCTGCTAGATTGCTGGGGCTTGTTTTCTCTTAATCTTGCCATTGCCAAGCATACATCTGATGCCTGCTGTGTGCCAGGTGTTAGTCTCTCTAATCCTCACAGCAACCCTTTGAAATAAAAGATATCCACATTTTGCAGAGGAAAACATTGTGCCTGAGAGGCCAGTTGCCCTGCCCAGTGGAACCCAGTCGTCTTCTGACTGAGTCCTCTGCTCTTATCGGCACCCACTCTGCCTCAGTCTCATTGTGATGGGGGCATGAAAGCTACTGTCACTAGGAACACTGGCATACCTTCCCCCAATATGGCATCTGTTTCCTTCATGGGGACTGTTTCCAGGACCTTAAGGTCACACTTGCCTACCACAAGCCCTGAAATTAGATGGTTTTATTTTGTCTAAAAGGCCCACTGTGGAAACAGCATGAACTTTGAAGTCAACAATAGGTTCAAGTGGTGTCTCCACCATTTTATTTTACTGCCTATGTGATTTTGGCCAAGTTACTTAAACTCTCAGAGCCTGTGATTCTTCACCTATAAAATGGGAATAATACATACCCGGTAGAGATGTGGAGAGAATTAGAAATAACACAGTAGGCTGGGCATGGTGGCTCATGCCTGTATCCCAGCACATTGGGAGGCTGAGGCTGGTGGATTACCTAAGGTTAGGAGTTTGAGACCAGCCTGACTAATACAGTGAAACCCTGCCTCTACTAAAAGCACAAAAACGTTAGCCAGGCATGGTGGTGTGCGCCTGTAGTCCCAGCAACTCACGAGGCTGAGACAGGAGAATTGCTTGAACCTGGGAGGTGGAGGTGGCAGTGAGCCGAGATCGTGCTACTGCACTCCAGCCTGGGCAACAGAGCGGGACTCCATCTCAAAAAAAAAAAAAGAATGCAGTATGCAGTAGAGTGCTTAATAAGTGCTTAGGACATTGTAGATGCTTATTAACTGGTAGCTACTATCATCACCATTGCAGGGCCTTCTGACTTGTCTTGGGGGACTGAAGAAGCTGTCCAGAGTGGTGGTTAAGAATATGGGCTCTGGAGTAAACTGCTTGGGTTTAAATCCTTGTTCTACCACTTATCAGCTGTGTGACTGCATAACTGAATTCCTTCCTGTACCTCAGTTTCTTCCATCTACAAGATGGGAATAAACAGTTTCTACCTTGTCGGGATAAATGATTTTAAAAAGACGAGAACTGTCAGGAGGTTGAGTTGAAATGAACTTATTTTGATTATCTACTGCCATTGTTTCTTCCCATGACATATGAGTCTCTTTTAAATTTATGATAACATTTCTTCTTTCCTTCCTACTCAAATTGAGATAATTTCTCATTATTTGTATTTCATGCTGATAAAAACATTTGCTATCACATTTTTCCTAGAAATGCAGATTAAATTGTAAAAATTACTATTTTCATCTAAGAAACTGGATTAACTAAACCTATAAAGGACAGCTTTTTATAGAGAAAATAATTGAGAATTTTTTGTAGAATTACTATAAATAAAATCAAGTGTAATAAATAACAATTTTATAGGTAAAAATATTAAAAAACCTAACCAACTGCCTGTTTAAAAAAACACACATAGATATTCCATTATTTCACAGAAATTATTTGATTCTCCTGTTTTAATCTTGAATTTGGCTGGGTTGCATGTGAATTACTCTTTTTCTCCTTCAAGAAGATACCAGTCAGGTGGGCCCATAGTATGTGAATCTACCAGGAAGAAAACAGCCTCTGAATTTACTGTATGTCTAGAAATCAAATTTGACTTATACCCATGGGCAGTGTGTGGTGTTGGCTGGGTTTGCATCATTATTCTGAAGTCTGTACTGATGTCGTGTGACTAATATGTTCCAGCTGTCTAGGTCACTGCTTTGGAGTACTATTTATTTGTAGTAGTGATGCTGCAAATAGGAAAAGCTTTCCCTTTTGTTGGTTGAAAGCTTTCCTGGTAATTGGCAAAACAAGCATGCCTCTTATTTGGAGAGAAACTGGAAAGGCGGCTAAAGAGTCAATTGTACACAACCACTTTGGAAAACAATTTGGCATTAGAGGAGTTGAACACGTGCAATCCGTAGTCCAGCTCTCCTCTCCTAGGTATATACCCTGGAGAAATTCTTGCCTGTGTGTACCAGAGGACACACAGTAGAATGTAAATGGCAGCATTATTCAAAGTAGCAGAAAATTGCAAAATCCCCAGAGGGTCCCCAACAGTAGAACAGAACAGTAAATTGTGGGTATGTTCACACAATGAGAACTGTATCGTGGTGACAAAATGAATGAACTAAAGCCACATGAGTCAACAGGGATGAATCTCAAAATCTTAAGAGGCAAGTCTAGAAGAGCACATACCGTATTGTTTCATTCATAGTAGGCTTAGAATCAGCAAATCACAACAACATATTGATAGCACATATGTGGCAAAACCATAAAGAGGAGCCAAGGAATGATTGACTCAAAATTCAGGCTAGTGGTGAATCTTGGTGGTGGAAGTGGTGGTGAAGGATGATTGGGAGACATGCAATCAGGAAAGACACACACACACGGCTTCCAAAAAAAGAAAAAAAAATTTAAACACTGGTATTAGGTACATGAGATTTATTTTATTATTCTTTACACCTATATATGTTGATAGGTTACTTATCACTGCATAACAAACCTCAAGACTTAGCACCTTAAAACGATAATACACATTTGTCATCTCACTTAGATTCCATGAGTAGGCCAGGAATTTGGGAGCAGCTAAGCAGGGTGGTTCTGACTCGCAGTCTCTCATGAGGTTGCAGTCAAGATGTCAACTGAAGCTGCTGCCATCTATTTGAAGGCTTGACTGAGGCTGAAGGATCTGGTTCCAAGATGGCTCACTCACATAGCTGTTGCCAGGAGGCCTCAGTTCCTTGCTGGTTCTTGGCAAGAGGCCTCAGTTCTTTCCCACGTGTATCTCTGCAGAGCTTCTTGAGCGTGTCCTCATATCAGAACAGCCAGCTTCCCTCCGAAAACAGAGATGGAAGGTGGAGTCTTTGGACTTTTGCAGTCTCACGCCAGCATTTCAGCAATATTGTAGTGGTTCCCACATGCCAGCCCTGTTCCAAGTGGGACGGGACTATACAAGCGCATGAATACTGGGAGGCGGATATCACCACGGGCCATCTTGGAGGCTGGCTACCACAGTTAAACGCACTTTTAAATATAGTATATTTCACAGTAAACATTTTTTTAGAGACAAACTAAATTGGCGAGCTCATTTTTCTTTAGTAATAGTGCAGCCATCCATTTAAATGAAAAGTTTTATAGATACTGAATGTGTTACCAATTAGTATGGGTTTAAAGAAATGTCAGTGATGTAGCTGAGTATTTGAGTGGCCTGAGCTTGCCTGACAAGAACGTACCTGAGGCAGGGGAGTGGGCGGGAAAGGCCATGAGGAAAGGAACTTCAGTAATACTTGCGCCGGGATCTGTGGTGGGAGATGGGATGATACGTGCCTGGACTTCATTCTACGTGTACCTAGATCTGGCAACAATCTGAGACTCTTGATTTTGAAGAGAATTCTCCACATGAAGGGCCATTGTGATATTAAAATCTGTTTCAGCCCCATACTTTTTCCCAAGACCATCTTTAATGAAAAAGGAGAGAAGGGTCCACCCCTTGCTACTCACCCCCACATCTAAGAGCATGGCCAAAAATGACCTAGGCAAGCAAGGACAGGGGCCTTAGCTTAAAAATCTATGCAACGATTACATTCTAATCCATAATTTATACTTGTTTTAATGTTAACAACTTTTAAATTATTGATTCATTTACTTAACCTTCCCTCACCAAAATCTTTGAGTAACACTGATGTTTCTGGAAGCTATGTCATGTTTATTTTTCTTTAGCTTTGTTTGGCTCTTGGCATAACTTCTTAGTGAGTATTCCTGGGGGTCTAAGTGTTCTGGGTTGTGAGGCAGTGAGTCGCACCATCTCCCCTTTGTGGATCCCAACATCCTTGTGAGCAGGTGTTGCAGCCCTCAGGTGAGGAAGCAGCCGGAAGAGGTTCTCTCCATTTTTAATGAAGCTAAAAAGTGGAGGAGATAGGCCTGAGAGCCAGGTGCACGGGGTTCCAGACTGGCTTTCTTTAGGCTTTTGTACACCAGTACTTCGCGTGTTAGTCATTGATACTGCTAACTCTCTGTGTCTACAGAATTCTGGTGATTAGCAGATGAAGCGCCAAGTAGGGCCATCATGCAGAGATGTCACGTTCTCCCCAACTGTAGTTTTGATGCTGCTTCCATCTTTATTTGCGGAGCTGTGTCTGTGGCATTATATTCTAGTGTATTTTGCGTTTTATAAAAATGAAAGGAAAATCCTCAACAGCAAATATAACTGCCTTTCATTATGGAGAGGTTACAAATCGCCAGCGATGCAGTGTGATGCTTGTTTTCCTTCTGTTAGTGAACAGTGTGCTCTTTTGAGGAAGAAGGAAAAAATAAAGTGCATGTATGTATATAAATGGCAAAAATACATTAAGGGTTATTGTGTCTACAAGAGAAGTATAATTACTAATAGTAATTATAGTAATTGGTAATAATGATTATAGTATTAATGGTACTATTAAGAAAGATTGTGAATATATGCTTTCAGGGAGCACACTGCAGTGCCCGGCTGCCTCCCTGGTGTGATGTGTTGTTTGGCCATTTGGCTGTGGGGTTGGTTTTAAGGAAGGCATCATGTTCGGGAGCAGGAGGGTGGAGGTGATCTGTATAGTGAGACAAGCCCAGGGCTTGGGGTCAGAAGACAAATAGGAGTTTAATCTCTGGTGCTTTCTAGTTGAATATCCTTGTCAGATATCATCTCTGACGCTTAGCTGCCTTCTCTGGAAAATGGGATCCATAAACCCTGCTTACCTCACAGGGCTGTGATCAAATGTGATGGGTAATGCCAAAACAGAAGGTATCGTCATGGCAACAGGAGTATGACTTTCAGGCCATGATACCACTTTGCCGCAAACTTGTGTGTATTGTAGTTGAGTATACTGTAGATTGGATCTGAATACCTTTGCTGGAAAGGATTTGAGGAGGTTCAGCAATTCCTGTGTGGTTCTAGGTGGGTACGTGGATGCCTTCTAAGTGTGGTCTCAGAAATCCAAGGTCAGAGTAAATCTCAAGTCATTGAAGCTCCAGTTTTTGTTAGAGTGGATGTTTGGGCTACATCACTGCCCTGAAATTGCTGTGATTCGACAGGAACTGAGGCAAACCTTCAGCTATAAGATGAAGACCTAATGCATGGTGACTATAGGGAATAATAATGTATATTTGAATTTGCTAAGACAGTAGACCTTATGTGTTCTCACCACACACACACAAATGGTAACTACACTGTAAGGCTCTTTTAGAATTTATCTAGCAAGTTTTCTTGTTTTTACCAGAAAACTCCTCAAAAAAAAGGGAATTGTATGAGGTGATAGATATGTTAAGTAGTTTGTGGCAATCATTTCACAATGTATACATATATAAAACCATCACCTTGTACACTTTAAATATATGTAATTTTTATTTGTCAATCATACTTCAATAAAGTTGGAGGGAAAAAAAAAGAAACTTACAGAGGAATTCCTTTATTCCAAAATTTCCTAGAGTGGGTGGGGCTGATAGTTGTTCCCTACATTCAATATGTGATGGGATTATTTTTTCTTTTTTTACTTTTTCCCCTATTAAAAAGTTGTAGCAGTATTTAAATTTAGAGGCTTATCATATATTAAGAACACGTTCTCAACTGAAATAGTATTAAGAGTAAAAATTCTTGGTGATAACACGCATGTTGCTTTGCTTATTCTTGCAGCGTGACGACAGCATGTACGATCCCTGAATGGGCCCGTGGGCATATTTAGTCATTCATTTTTGATCAGGAGAAAGAAGACAGCCATCATTTGAAAGGTAAGTAAATATTTCTATGCAGCTTTTTATTGTAAAACATTTTCAACCATACTGAAGAGAGTTAAGAGAACGTGCAATGAGTTCCTGCCTATCTACACCTTAGCTTTAACAGTTATTAGCATTTTGCCACATTTTTTGGTGTGTGTATAGGTTTGTACATTTTTTAGCTGAAACATGTAGAAGTTGCAGATATTATGACATTTTTTCCTAAATTCTTGGGATGCAGCTCTTACAAATAAGGATATTCTTCCCTGAAAGACCTTTTAGAACTACGTGGCACAGAACCATTTAATTAAATTTATAGTTTTGTACTGAAGTGTGTAACTGAGTTATGCTCCCTTCACTGTTGATAGAAATAAAGTCAGATTAAAAACATTTTTAGGCCAGGCGTGCTGGCTTACACCTGTAATCCCGGCACTTTGGGAGGCTGAGGGGAATGGATCGCTTGAGCCCAGGATTTCAAAATCAGCCTAGGCAACAAGGTGAGACCCATCTCTAGAAAAAATACAAAAAAAATTAGCTGGGTGTGGTGGTGCACACCTGTGGTCCCAGCTATTCAGCAGGCTGAGGTGGGAGGATCGCTTGAGCCCACAAAGTCGAGGCTGTAGTGAGCCGTGATGGAGCTACTGCACTGCAGCCTGGGTGACAGACAAGACCCTGTCTCAAAAAACAAAACCCAAAACCATTTTTAATAGCAAGACCTTGTCTACAAAAAATTAAAAATTTAGCCAGTCATGGTGGCACATGCCTGTAGTCCTAGCTACTTGGGAGGTTGAGGTGGGAGGATCGCTTGAGCCCAGGAGTTGGAGGGTGTAGTAAGCTATGATTATGCCACTGTACTCCAGGCTGGGCGACAGTGAGTCCCAGTCTATCTCTCTCACACACACGGAGAGAGAGAGAGTGATTTCTTTAATGAACAGATAAGTAATATGAATTTGATATGAGAAAAATCTGAATATAAAGGCATGGAACTTGTACTGTACATATACCCCAAGAGAGAAATTACTGTGCTTTCTTCCTGTAATCTACCCATCCCCGCCATGGCTGATGTTTCATGGTTAGGTCAGTGGATCTGATCACCAGCCTCACCTTCTCCCTGATCAAGATTCACAAATAGACCAGGGCTGGGCCTGGTGGCTCATGCCTGTAATCCCAGCACTTTGGGAGGCCGAGGCAGGTGGATCATTTGAAGTCAGGAGTTTAAGACCTGCCTGGCCAACATAGTGAAACCCTGTCTCTACTAAAAATACAAAAGTTAGCTGAGCGGTAGTGACATGTGCCAGTAATCCCAGCTACTCGGGAGGCTGAGGCAGGAGAATCACTTGAGCCTGGGAGGCAGAGGTTGCGGTGAGCCGAGATCACGCCTCTGCACTCCAGTCTAAGTGACAGAGTGGGACCCTGTCTCAAAAAAAAAAAAAAAAAAAAAAAAAATTAGATCAGTCTCTGTGCTCTGATGTGATCAAAGGTCTTAGCTGATTTTTTAAACCTAAACTTATAGGAGAATGTGGAAAGAATATGACTGGTACTGTGAAGTTGATGTTATATAGGTTAATGTATTAAAATCAGCATTAGAGAGATTAAAAATGATTCCCAGCCTCATAATTTGACTACCTACATTGAAACTTTACTTAAAATCTCAAAGACATGTTCAGCTATGATTACAGTTGTAGATCTTTACACATTATAGCCAATTACACCATCAGTTATCTGTGGTTCTTGCAAGATGGCTGTCGACTGTTCTGCTTTCCAATCTCAGTTACTATTTATTTACGGTATCTTCCTCAAGTCGTCCCTGTGTATCTAAGCATTGTTTTACAGACATTTGTGTCTATAAGGTTGCCTATTTAGAGCATATTTTAAAGAAAGTCTATTTAAGTGAGCCATTTAGGGCAGCAGTGGCTTCTTATACTCTCATTTCTGATTTAGAACAAAAGGTCAGTGATAGCAGTAAAGGTTCTTCAAAAGATACTGGCATTCAGAAGGAGTTGTGTCTGGAATCACGGGTAGCTCAGAATGATTGAGTTTTGCTTTTTTATTCTTTGGCCTCTGTATGGTTATGCTTTGAAAAGATGAGGAGGAGTGAGTGGGACTCCACGTGAGGCAAAGGGGGTTTTGAAGGATGAATGAAGGGAAGACATATGGGGTCCTGTCTAGTCCTAGACCACTGAGATATGGTGATTTTAAAAAACTTTCTACTGAAGTAGAAGATACATATGGAAAATAGACATATTATAAGTGTATAGCTCAATATAACTTCACAGATTGAACACATCCATGTAACCAGCACCCAGATTAAGAAACAGAGCATGACTAACACAATCTCATGCTTCCTTTTAGACACTACAGTTGACTCTTAAATAATTTGGGGATTAGGGGTGCAGTTGAAAATCCAAGTATAATTTTGTCTCCCTGAAAATGTAACTAGTAATAGCCTACTGTTGACTGGAAGCCTTACTGACTTACTACATAACGACACACACACACACACACACACACACACACACACACACACACACACATATATATTTTGAGATGCAGTCTTGCTCTGTTGCCCAGGCTGGAGTGCAGTGGCACGATCTCGGCTCACTGCAACCTCCGCCTTCTGGGTTCAAGCGATTCTTCCTCCCGAGTAGCTGGGATTACAGGTGCGTGCCACCATGCCAGGCTAATTTTTGTATTTTTAGTAGAGACACGGTTTCACCATATTGGCCAGGCTGGTCTCGAACTCCTGACCTCGTGATCCACCCGCCTTGGCCTCCCAAAGTGGTGGAATTATAGGCGTGAGCTGCCACGCCCGGCCAATGACATATATTTTATGCATTCACAGCATACCTCATATTTCCTTAATTTTTTTTTCTGCTATTTGTAGGCTATTTGGTTTATCTGTGAGCTTTTTCAAAGTGTTGCAAATCTCCAAAAAAATTTTCCAATGTGTTTATTGAAAAAAATCTGCCTTTAAGTGGCCCCTTACAGTTCAAACCAGTGTTGTTCAAGGGTCAACTGTACCCTTGCTCCATGGATGACTACTCTCTTGACTTCTAGGAGCATAAATTAGTTCTGCATTTGTCTTTTCTTTGTGTGTGTGTGTAATATATAATGCAGATTGTACTCTTTTGTGTCTGGCTTCTCTCATTCAACAACATATTAGATTCCTGCATATTATTGCATATAGTTTAGTTATTGATTGCTCATTTTCATTTCTTTAGAGCATTCCATTGTGGGAGAATATAACAATTTATTTATTTTACTAGATGTGGGTAATTGTTTGGGTTTACCCATCTGGGGCACCCTCCAGAGGAAATGAGAATTAAACAAGGTTTTCTCCTCATCATGGTTATAGTGGAAATAGTACCAGGTTGTGCTCAGCTTCTGCTGTGATATGAGGGAGGAATCTAGACAGCAGCGAGAAGATTGAGACACACTTGGGAGAATTGGGTGTGGTTTCATCAGTCCTGTGCTGATTCCTGCTGCTCTTCCTGTGACTCACCATGTCCCTTCTCACGTCGTTCCCTACTGGCACATGTTTTCTACGTCCTCTTCTCTGCCATTATTACTTTCTCTACAGCCCCTCCAAGGAGACTGTGCAGAACATGTCAAACAACAGGCAATTGATGAATATTTAAAGTTCATTAGGTGTTGATATTAAGTGTTAGGTGAGGGGCAAAGAGTTGAACGTTTGGGCTTGCCCTTGAGGAGCCTGTAGTATAGTTATCAATTCACAGGTATGGCAGTGGGCCACATCCCCGGAAGCCAGTTGTTCTGTAGAGTTCAGGGATGTAAATTCAGAGGCTTACATGGGCCAGGCTGGTAACGTGACTGAAATGAATGGGGTTGCTCATAAGGATTGATGGGCATGGTGGAGAGTGAGTGTATATCCTCTGCCCAAATATCAACCCAACAAACTCTGTCCAGCTCAATTTAGCAAGTCCACCATTTTCCAAACTTTAGAGAGTAGAGTCATCATTATATAATAAGAAAGTGTTCCTCAGAGGATTTGGGTGTTTTTATGGAAAAATTCTGTTTTTATACATAAAGTTTTATTCAAAAAGTCATGCTCATTTGTTTACATATTTTGCTATAACTGCAGAGTTGAATAGTTGCAAAAGAGACCAGGGTTGAGTAGTTGCAACAGTGACCATATGGCCTACAAAGCCTAAAATATTTACCATCTAGCCCTTTACAAAAAAGTTTGCCAGCTCCTGCTTTACTTCATAAAAGCAAGGACATAGTAATCATAACCTCTGTAGTCATGTAGTAATCTGAGCCCATTAAATTTAGTGTTAATGTTCTCATTCATGTATTCATCCAACACGTATTTACAGAGTGTCTATTGTATTTCAGGCATAAAATGGTGAAAATCAGATATGGTTCTTGGTCTTGAGGAGTTTAAAAGAAGCTCCTCTATCACTTCTTGGCCTTTTGGCTAAGATCAAGTATAGTAAAAGAGTCTCCTATGAATTTGAAATTCCATTCCATGATTGTGCTTTCTATAAATCAAAAATATGACATCGTGGTGTAGGGGCATCCCCTGTCAGCTCTTCTAGTTATGCAGGTAGCGCATTTCCGTGTGCACCAACCACATGGGGCTTATTCTCAGCATAGCTGCTTTTAGAATAAAAAGTATAATATGGAAGTGGAACTAAAAATCCTCAATTTAAAACTATTATGTCAGCTATCTTTATTAATTTTATAAACTTGATAAACACTTACCCTACATAATTTGATTTTTTGCTTCCGTAATGAGGAGTATGTAATGTGATGTTTGCACAATTACTGTAGTTTTAAATGTCCTAATTGTTTACATGTGGTAATGCCAGACTGTTTGAAGGTAGCCATGTCTGGAGAAGGGATGAGTTTTGAAGTGCTTACTAAAGCAAGCCAAGCATATGGTCAGTCTTGTGCTACTTTAATAATAAACCTCAATAGAAACAACAGCCAACCAAGATAATAGAGTTTGGATAATAAAGTTTGGAATGCAGCATAACAAATTAATCTATCTCTGTTTGTGTGCTTATCTATTTGCTTATCAAAGTCATAAAAGTTTGTTTCTTCTTAATAGAAAATATAGAAGTATTTTTTTACATTAAGGAATTTGAAACTTGTTTTTAACATCTTTTACACCTGTGTAGCATTTTCATATGTGCTTGTATATATATTATGGGTGGACACTGGGGCTGTGAGTGACTGCCCATTCACCACCCCTACACTGTCCTCAGACCAATGTAAAGGAAGCAAGTCAAACCATATCAGTGAACCATCTTCAGCCATGATGTCTGCATCATTGCCTTCTTTCAGCCTGAGAGGTCTTTCAGGAAGTGGGAATTTGTTTGGATGTTATAGTTGCAGTTATTTAGCTATGTGCAGTAATTCAAAGATGTGAAAATGCAGGAAGCCCTGGTCATACTTACACATGGATTTGGGAGCCATCAGACATCAAATGGGATGCTATTTGTCACCTTTTGAGGCAGTGATCTGGGTGACCCATAGTGCTTTCCTCTGAAATCTTAGGCTTCTGAAGAAACCACAGGGAAGGAATGTGAACTGGTACAATAAATAGCTTAATGAATGTGATGAAAACTCCAAACTGGTTTGTTTTGTTGCCAAAATTAATAAAGTTAAGGTGTAGTTGATCTTTTTTTTTTTTTTTTTTTTTTGAGATGGAGTCTCGCACTGTCACCCAGGCTGGAGTGCAGTGGCACGATCTCCGCTTACTACAACCTCTGCCTCCCGGGTTCAAGTGATTCTCCTGCTTCAGCCTCCCAAGTAGCTGGAATTACAGGCACCCGCCACCATGCCTGGCTAATTTTTTGTATTTTTAGTAGAGACAGCGTTTCACTATGTTGGCCAGGCTGGTCTTGAACTCCTGACCTCGTGATCCTCCCCCATTGGCCTCCCAAAGTGCTGGGATTACAGGTGTGAGCCACTGCGCCCAGCCAATCTTCTTTAGGAGGAAGAAATGATCTATAGCCATTCATGTCTTCTACTTTTTGTGTTTAAAATGTTTTAAAGAATTCAGTCATATTCTTTTTAGTGATTCTATATGGATAGTTGTTTAGAGGAAAAACAAGAATTGAGAAGGCTGAGAAAATAAATATCATAGTTGTTTTCTTACAAAGTTGGAAACTGTAGGCTTAGTTCTTTTGATTAAAAATGAAATTTTCTGAAACAAATTTTTTGATAGGCCAGATTCCTTGTTCTGTGGCATTGGAAAAATGAAGTCTGTTCTACATAATGTGGAGTTATCTTGTCAGGAAGTCCAGCCTCAGAAGTGTTGCTTTGTCAAGACTAGCCAATTAAAATTCACTTGAATAGTCTTCAAGTTTTATTTTTAGAGAGGGGAAAGTACTGAAAGTATAGGTAAATTTAGTTGATAGAACAGAGTGCCTTGGTTGCAAGTGACAGAAAACTCATTTCAAACTGTCTCAAGTGAAAAAGTCTATGGCCTTAAGTAATTGCAAATCTAAGGACTGGATCTGCCTTCAGGAGGGGCTAGACTAAGGATCAAAATGATGTCATGAGGATTCATCTTGGCTACATGTTTTTGGGCTCTGAATGGAGACTTCTAGCAGCTTCAGGTTTGCTTAGTTACAAACAAACTTCCTGGTCATGATGAGTCATGTGCCTCATGCTGGACCAGTGGCTGTGGCCAGGTATATTGGCCTATTCCTATTGGATAGCCAGATCATGTGCTTCACTCCAGGGCCTGAGGTCAGCACATCTTCTGCAGAAGGTGAAGCATGAACTGATGATAGCTGGGAATGGTTCCCTCCAAGGGTGAATCAGGGCAGTTACCAAGAGGATTGGGGGTGCTGGGAGGTACACTAATTATTATAATGATTATTATTAATGTATCTTTTAATGGTTTGAAAAGCATTTTCAGATGTATTCTTGTTTGACCTTTAGGAGATATTGGGGAGGCAGGATAAAGAAGTGATTAAAAACATGGATTCTGGGGCTAGACTAGGTTCAGTTATTAGCTTGCATGAGCTTTTGACCAATTACTTAACCTCTTTGTATCTCAGTTTTCTCAAATGTGCAATGGGGATAAAGGTATTTACCTAAAAGAGTTCTGAGAAGGATCGAATTAATGGACATTTGCAGGGCACTTAGAATAGTGCCTCATGCACGCTAGCCTCTCTATCCCTGGTTATTACTGTCAACCTTTAAAGCTGTCCTGCTGGCAGGGGAGCAAGTGTCCTCTTCATTTGACAGATAAGGAAGTTCAGACTCACATGACCTGTAAGGGTCAACACTGGTTTGGACCTGACTTCTTCCCTGTCCCCACACTTGCCTCTGTGTTATGATTGTGGGGCATTTGGGTTAGTAATAAATCAAGGAAGCAGAGAGGGAAAAAGCACTAGAAAGTAGGCCTGGATTAAAGTACCTGTGTGGTACAAGAAAGGCAGTGTTTCTGTATATTCCACTTGAACGTTGGTCTTTAGCTTCCCACATGAACGGTGCCCCCAGAAACATTTAAGGGAACATTCCTAAGAAGAAATTTTTCCATCCTGCCGGGCACATGCTTGGGACAATCAGCCATATCCAGGGTGGGCACTTGCTTGGGAAATGTTTGCTGATGGTTTAATCAGATCCAGTATTCTGAGTTTCAGAGGAGACAAAGCTTTTTATGGTCAGGAGGTGACTTGAACCCTTCAGTGTGGTGTGAGGACAGAATTGCTGACTCTGAGAGGTTTGGACCACTGCAGAGTGCTGCTCTCACGACCGCCAGCCAGTTCTGTCTGCAAATAGATGCCATTTTCCTCATTAGGAATATTTTCCCACAGTTGTTGAGAATGTTTTGTGGGGAAATTATCCAAATGACTTAATGAAGGAGATTTTTTTCTCGAGACTCAGATGTTGGTATGGCCCAGACATCTAGGGAGGGTCTTGCTGTTCTCTGAGGACAATAGTGATTTCTTTGTATTATTTACTGTGGACTCAGGACATTGGAAGCTTAAAGTATTTGTAAGTAATCTCTGATACGCTCCCAAGCTATGCAGCTATGAAAGCAAGGAAAAACTTAGCAGAAAACACAATTTTGGTGCTCTCTGCCGTGCTTTTGAGGAAAAATAGTGCTTGCCATTCAGCATTCACAAAGCTTGCTGGAGGGCCAGAGCCGCTTCTTCACTGCAGGACAGGCTCTGCCCTGCGGTTGCTGTTTCCTTGCAGACGGCCACTGTGCCTAGGATGTGGGAGTCTCAGATATTTCATAAATGGATCATGGCTTTGTCTTTTTCTCAATTTCTTTTGACAAGAAATTGTTTACCATGTAGATGTCTTCAAGAACTTCACCTGTGAGTCCTGCATTACTTCTGTCTGGACACATCACATTGTTTTTGTTGTTTCTTTAGATGGAGGATGTGGTGTCTGAGTATTGATCCCCACACCTGGCTTTACAATGGTGTTTTTATTCCAAAGAACAACACCTATTCAGAGAGTAAAGGGATTAGCTACTTATTCTAGAAAAATGACCCTAAGTTTGCCAAATATTTGTGGGAATTATAATAGGTTCTTAGATGTAATCCCATTTATTTTGTTCTTAGCTCCTTAGGAGTCTTTTGCCTTGCTGCATAGTCAGGGATTGAATATTAATAGTTCCTTCGTTGCCTTTAACCTGACCCCATTTTACATCTGAGAAAACAAGGTCAACCTTATTTCCTGTAATGTCAGCAACAAAAGCAACAACATTATTATTCATTATGTGATAGGCACCACTCTGAGTTATTTTGTTGGTTATCCTATTTCATATTCTCCACAACTCTGTGATCATTATTCTCTAGATGAGGAAATTGAGGCATAACCTGCAGCCTCAGGATATGGCTGAGTGGCACAAGTCTGCTCTTAGCATCACAGACGCTGTACTGCCGACTGGTGTGGCCAGTGTCCAGTCCAGGGTCTCTACCACTGGCTGCACATTAGAATCACCCTGAGGGATTTTAAAAGCACTGAATGTGCAGTTCCATAACTCCCCGCTCCTTACATACTTATTTACTTGGTCTGGGGTCTCATTGGAGGTTGCTGTGCATTCAAAACTGAGAATATTTTTGAACTAGAGCAATAGTTCTTAAAATTTGGTCCCTGGGATGGCAGTATCAGGTAACTTGTTAGAAGAGGAAATTCTCAGGCCTCACCCAGACCTACTGAATTGAAACTCTGGGGGTGGGGTGTGGTGATCAGTGTTTTAACAAGTCTTCCAGGTGATTCTTTTTTATAAAACATATTGTAGTAAAAACACACAACATAAAATTTGCCTTCTTTACTGTTTTTAAGTGTATGGTTGACTCGTGTTAAGCACGTTCACATTGTTGTGCAACAGATCTCCAGAACTTTTTCACCTTGCAAATCTGAAACTTCATACCCATGAAAACCCATTAAACAACTCCCCTTCTCTCCCTCCTGTAACCCCTGGTAGGAACCATTCTACTTTTTGTTTTCATGAACTTGACTACTTCGCATACTTTGTCTAGGTGGAACTCCAAGTGATTCTTAGGCATGCTCAAGTGTGAGAGCCACTGAACTCCAAAACTCAATTTGGCTCTCTCCCTATAGTTGCCCACTCACGTCATTAATATCAACCATATTGTAAATCCCACACTCCTGTGCATGCCCCGCTCTTTCTAGTCCTGTGTCTGCCACCTTGATGTTCTGTCACTTTGATCAAGTTACTTAATTTCCCCGAGGTGATTCCCTTGTCTCTATAAGTGAGGGTTGAGGGGTTTGGGGGGGGGTCCCTAACTTGCTGTGGTAAATGTTAAATCATTAGACACTTGTGAAAGTAATTTGTAAGTTGTCAGATGGTATAATAAATATTAGGTATAGATTGTAATCATCGTCTCTTTTTAAATTGTAGGTTTTGTTTTTATTGCAGTCATACACCTTTGATTTTTTAAAGGATTCCATAGTTCCACAAGGCCTCTTGTGGACTTAAGTTCCTGTTATGCCTGTTATGCTTGTTTCTCTTCCTCCTCCCCCATTTCTTATCTGGTGTTTACAGTGTGTAAACAGGATTCACAAATGTGCTGGGTAATATAGTATAGTTTGATTACTTTAAATTTTCTGCACACACACAAATTGTGTTTTCCTTGGATTTAGTAATTGTGTCTTTTAAAGTTTTTCTATGCACTTACCACTACTTTAACCATAAACAGCCTTCTATGTAAATTTCCTCTTAATATTTTAAGCCATATCAGCTATCTTATCAATTACATCTCGGAGAAATCTTACCTGGAGTCTTACGCTTTGCTCCAGTCCAGACTACTTGCTCTCTAGGCCTGCTGTGTACCACATCTTGGGATCCTCTCTTTAACACCTTTCTGGGCATTTCTTATATCTTGCCTATGTATTGGATTCCCAGTTTCCCTCATTGCATATTCTCTTCTTTCTTGGTTTACTCCCGTATTTGGGAGGAGCACATTTTCTGGAAGTGTCCTAGAAAATTTCATATGGGAGGTAAGACTTTTGTGTTGTTATATATCTGAGACTGTCACATTCACGTTTAATTTACAGTGTGGCTGGGGATAGAATTCTAGATTAGAAATCACTGAGCTTCAGAATGGTGAAGGCATTGCTCATTATCTTTTAGTATCTAGTGTTGATTGTGAGAAGGCTAAGACTGTCTCCCAGTCCTTTGTAGGTGACTTCATTTTTCTTACTTTTTTCTCTCGGGTTTTTCATTCTTTTCTTTATTTTCAGTGTTCTGAAATTTCATAATATTCCTTGGTGGGGTCTATTTTCATTTCTTGGAAACTTGCATCCTTCATTTTTAGAAATTTTCTTGAAGTGTATCATTGTTGAATTCCCCCCTCTGTTTTCTCTGTTCTCTCTGTTCTTTCTGGAATTCTGTTAGATATTGACTTAC
This sequence comes from Homo sapiens, assembly GCF_000001405.40. NCBI lineage: Eukaryota > Metazoa > Chordata > Mammalia > Primates > Hominidae > Homo > Homo sapiens. The sequence continues at coordinate 50,579,294 of NC_000010.11, read as the reverse complement.
TGTCTTATGACAGCCTTACCTTTTCTTCTGCTTTCCGCATCTGCTTTTTAGCTGTATTCTTAGGATATTTCCTACGTTTACCTTCTAACCCTTCTATTCAATTTTTCATGTTTGTTATAATGTTTTTTTAAAATTTTTTGACAGTTTTTTTATTCTCTGATTGCTTTTATTGTATAGAATCCTACTATTTCATGACAGCATTTTCCTTTAGTTCTCTGAGGAGGTTAATGATAACTTTTTAAGCTTTTTTTGCATAGTTTTTATTTCCTTCAAGTTGCTTTTTTCCTCTGTTTCTGTCTTTCATGTTAGATATTTTCTTTATGATCTTTGAATGTCCATTCATGATTAAGAATGGGGCTTTACAAACTGGAAGATTTGGCTTATTGGGCCTAAGTTAGTTGCTGTCATCTATCAGATTTCCAGCTTTAAAAAGCTTAACATTTTAATCTTTGTCCTATTATCTTTGTCCTTGTAGATTTATGCATTTAAAAAGAAATAATTTTGTGGTGTTGGGGTTTTAGGAGGGAGAGAAGCTGAATATGTGTGTTCATCCACTGTCTTTAACTGGAAATCAATATAGAAGTCTTAAAAAAAAAATCCAGGTCAGAATTTGCAGCATTGGTATTTGTTCAAACACATACCTGCGGTGGTGAGCATTAGCTTGGTGTTCTATTATTTTTTAAAGCATGGTATATATTTAGATGGTCTCAGCAGAGATCTTGGCTTTCTTGTTAACTGTGCAGCAGCTGCCTCTTTTTCTTAGCTAAGAGCTTTTATTTCAGGTGTTAAAATACCAATAAATTTATAAATGATAATTGGGCCTTGTGATAAAAAATAAAAATTGTAGAAAAAAATCCTTATTGATGTTCCTGAAAGAATTTTCCAAGGGTAAGCATATAATCCTTAGATTAAAATGCAGCTGACACATTAAGTCTTCTTACATGAAAAGCTGAATTAATAGGTTTTAATGCCATTTGTCCTTGACCACCCACAAAGGGCATTCCCGCAGGCTAAAGAGACTGGACATAAATACCGCAAAGGGAGCGGGGCTGTATTTGTGGTTTTGATCCCTCATAAATGCTTCCACAAAGCATTCAAGCTCAGACCATCAGAGAACAGGTAAAAAGCTATTGTTAGCCTTTCTGATAGCAGGTCTCTGCAAAAATTAAGCAGTTTTAGAAGAGCAGAGTGGTTCTTTTACTATAGGCTAACTGACCTTGGATTATTTCATGATCTGCTCCTTGAGGTGATAAGCTCAGTTGCTTCTTGTCTTTTCTGAACGTTACATGTATCCTCTGTCAAATACCAGTCCTTCCTTCTAGCTTACTGGAACACTTAGTCATTGTGTAGTAACCAACATGGTCATTTCTGGCCCTGGCGCTGATTAGATAACAGAAGTCCCCTTCACAAGCTTCGCAGCTCTGTGCAGTAGCAGCCCTTTAATAGCTGTAACTTCACCACTGGGAAAGGAAAGGAAAGGAAAGCCTCTCTGCTTTCATGCTGATTGCTATGGAAGCTTGCCCAAGATACTTCCCCTTGCATGTGCAGGGCTGTGTGCAAAACAGAGAAATTGCTTTCCACTTAAAAGCGTTGGCCTGTTATTACTCTATGAACCTTTGAGGAAATCAGATTCAGAGGTTTCCTAAATATAGAAAGTTCCTTTCTCTCTTGTTATTAAAGCCACAAACAATCTAGGGGTAATTTTTTATATTATTTTGAGGTTGCATTAAAATTAAGAGGAAGGACAGTACTGCAGAGATGCCTGGTTGTTTGTTGGGTTTCTTAAAAGGACTAAATATGAATAAATTACGAATTCTTGCACGTTAGGAAAGGGACCTTTTGTTGTTGTTGTTGTTTAATTAGCTACTCCTGCCTTTCTCTATACTTTTTTTATGTCTTCTTCATGCTCTCCAAATCTGTCTTCTTGTTCCTAATGTATATGGTAGTGAAATGAACTGTAGGAGCTATGTCCATTAAAGACATAGACAAGGGTTTTTATTGCTAAGAGGGAACCATGCAGAAGATGACAAATTAACTGACCATCACCCAGATTGGGTTTTCCTGAGCTGTGTCATCCCCGTTGATCATCACAGTTGTTGCCTCTGCCACAAGTGCACTTTTAAAGCTCCAGCCCAAGCAAGTTACCCCTAGCTTAACGGAAGCAGCCTGAGTCTTCCAAAAGACTCCTCTGAATTCTGAGGGCCAGCCAAAGAAACTAAACCTTTTTTATGAAAAGGAAAACTATCACTGTTCTTTGTAGATACTACCAGTTTCTGATCTTGCCTAGAACTAGTTCACTCCCAGGGCTTTAAGTCCCAGCTCTATGCAGTATTTATAGATGACAGGATAAAAGAGCCAAGGAAGAGCCAAATACTTACAGTTTCCAAGTGGATTTAGATTATTTGCCCATAGGACAACCATTGTTTCACATTCTTTTCTTTTGCCACCATGGTGTTGGCACTTAGCATGTGGTAATTATAATTTGGATTCTTTAACACACTTCTATTGGCAGAAGCTTATGTATATACATGTGGTGCAATGGGTGACATCAAAAGTGCTCTCCGGAAATAAGGGTTGCACTTATGACATAGATGATTTTCTGATTCAAAAAATTTGTGAGCTATTATGAGACAGACAACAGCTTTGTCATTAGTCATTTGAGATTGTTATGAATAGGCCCCTCATCTGGTTGAGAATTCACGTGCCCAGCTTTTCTATGGGAAAAATTGTTCTTCAGACAGAGCATGAATGAAATATTCTATCTATTATGGGACTCCCCCTGCTTTTGGAGGGGGATGAGAAGAAAGGGTGGCATTTATGGAATTTGGCTATTCTGCCAAAAGGGGCGTGCTCCTCCAGTGGCAGCTGTGGTGGCTGCTGGGAGGAAAGTGGGGACAAGGGTGACTCTGAGATGAGTGTACTCGATCAGGGGCTTCAGAGGTTGCTGGCTTTTCACAAGAGACCTCAGTATATGATGCCTGTGTGGAGGTCACAGTTATGACATTCTCTGAGAGATTTACTGTTGGGTCTATAATGAGGATGAACTGGCCATTGTGTTTAAAGAAGTTGGGTCTCACCTGCAGGGTGAGCTGCCTCAGCACATCCATTACCTGTCTTCTCAGTGGGTACCTCATGGATCAGAAGCTGGGGCCGAGTAATACAGTGTTAGGTGGTTGGTGTGGTTCCCATCTCCTGCTTGACTTTTGCTGGGAAAGTGTCTGTAGGTTCCACTCTCTCTAACATGGGAAGTGATGCCAGAGGGAAAGGAAGAGGCAAGGCAGATGCCGCTGAGGTTGGTGCTGTAGTGGACATAGCTCAGGCAGGATGTGAATGGGGCTAGGGCTCTGGGAGTAAAACAGCTCTGGGAAGATCAGAAACATGTGTTAACATGAACAGTTATACTTCTTTCCTTTATTTCTGTTTTGATTTTCTGTGGAACTTAAAAAGCCTTTCAGAAGGTATTGGAAATGTATTTATGCTTGGGCCATAGCTTTCTTGCTTTTGTTTTTTCCCTAGCCTTATTGAGATATAATTTGTATACAAAAACCTTCACATAATTAATGTATACAATTTGATGAGTTTGGACATATGTATACACTTGTATTGTATTACCACCACCACAGTCGAGATAATAAACATATCTATCACCTCCAAAAGTTTCCTGTGTCCTTTGTGTGTGGGGGGAGGAGGGTGACGGGGGTAAGAACACTTAATGTGAGATATACCCTCTTTTTAAAGTTTATTTATTTTTGAAACAGCATCTCACTGTCGCCCAGGTTGGAATGCAGTGGCACCATCATAGCTCACTGCAGCCTGGAACTCCTGGGGTCAAGGGATCCTCCTGCCTCAGCTTCCCAAGTAACTACAGGTGTGCACCACCATGCCTGGCTAATTTTTTTATTTTATAGAGATGGGGTCTTGCTAGGCTGCCTAGGCTGGTCTCGAACTCCTGGCCTCATGTGATCCACCCACCATAGCCTTATAAAGCGTTGGAATTGTAGGCGTGAGCCACTGTGCCTGGCCCAGATATACCTTCTTAAATTTTTAAGTGCATAATGTCTTATTGTTAACTATAGGCACTATATTGTACACTATGTTGTACTATGTATGGAACTTACTCATTTTGTTTTGTATGTAACTTCATATCTATAGAACAACAGCTGCCCATATCCACCCCCGTTCCCTGGTAATCATGTAGTATTTGTCCTTCTGTGACTGACTTATTTCACTTAACATAACGTCTTCCACGTCTATGTTGTTTCACATGGTTGAATTTTCCTCTTTTTTAAGGCTGAGTAATACTTTGTTTTATATATATATATATATATATACACCACATTTTCCTTTTAAAATGTTTATTCTTTTAATTGACATATAATAATTACATGTACTTATGGGATACATAGTGAGATTTCAATACATATGATGTGGTGTGATCAGATCAGGGTAATTAGCATATTCATCATCGGAAACATTTGTCATTTCTTTGTGTTGGAAACATTCAACATCTTCCTACGGTACCACATTTTTCTTTATCCATTCATCTGTTGATGGACCTCTGTATTGTTTCCATATCATGGCTGTTGTGAATAATGTTGTGATAAACATGAGCATGCAGGTATCTCCTCAAGATCCTGATTTCAGTTCTTTTGGATATATACCCACAAGTGGGATCACTGGGTCATATGGTAGTTTTTAACTTTTTGAGAAATTTCTATCTTGCTTTCTATAGCAGTTGCAATTTACATTCCCACCAGTAGTGTGCAAGGGTTCCAACTTCTCCCTGACCTTACTAGCACTTGTTATCTTTTGTCTTTTAAATAATAGCCATTCTCACAGGTGTGAGGTGATATCTCATTGTGGTTTTGATTTGCATTTCCCTGATGATTAGTGATGTTGAGCATTTGGTCATAAACCTCTTGGCTACTTGGATGTCTTCTTTGGAGATATGTCTGTTCAATGCTCATTTTTAAATTGGGTTATTTGTTTTTATTGCTATTGAGTTTTTGGAGTTCTTTATATGTAATAGATGTTAATCTTTTTTCAGATATAAGGTTTGCAAATATTTCCCCCATTCCATAGGTTGCCTTTTCACTCCGTTGATTCTTTTCTTTGCTGTATACCATATCTATTTTTGCTTTTCTTACCTGTGCTTTTGGTGTTATATCCAAGGAATCATTGCCAAATCTAATATCAAGAAGCTTCCCCCCTGTGTTTTCTTCTAAGAATTGTATAGTTTCAGATCTTATGTACAAATCCTTAATCCATTTTGAGTAAATTTTTGTATATGATGTAAGACATGGTTCAATTCCATTCTTTTGGATATAGATATCCAGCTTTCCCAGAACCCTTTATTGAAGAGACTATCCTTGCCCCATTGTGTGTTCTTGGCACCTTTCTTGAAGATCAATTGGCTATATGTACATGGGTTTATTTCTGCATTGTTTATTCTGTTCTATTGATCTGTATGTTTATCTTTATGCCAGTACCATAATGTTTTCATTACTGTAGCTTCATAATATATTTTGAGATCAGGAAGTGTGATATTTCCAGCTTTGTTCTTTGTTTTTCTTGCTTAAAATTCTTTTGACTATTTGGGGCCTTTTGTGGTTTCATACAAATTTTAGGATTTTTGTCTTTCTATTCCTGTAAAAAATTTTCTTTGGGAATTTGATCAGGATTGCATTGAAACTGTAAATTGCTTTGGGTAGTATAGACATTTTAGCAATATTAATTCTTCCTATCCATGAATACACGAAATCTTTACATTTATGAGCAAAGTTTTATAGTTTTGTGTACAAGTATGTTACCTCCCAGGTTAGGTTTATTTCTAAGTATTTTATTCTATTTGGTGCTACTGTAAATGAGTTGTTCTTAGTTTCCTTTTTGGATTGTTTTGTTGGTGTACAGAAACACAACTCATTGTTTTTGTATTGAATTCATTTATTCTAACAGTTTTTTGGTAGGATCTTTAGGGTTTTCTACATATAAGATTATGTTATATGCAAACAGATAGTTTTACATTGGATACCTTTTATATCTTTTCTTGCCTCATTGCTCTGGCTGGGACGTCTCGTACCATATTGAATAGAAGTAGTGAGTGTGGGGCATTCTTGTGTATTCCAGATCTTAGAGGAAAAGCTTTCAGTTTTTCTCCATTGAGTATGATGTTAGCTATGGGCTTTTCATGTATGACCCTTATTTTGTTGGGGTAAGTTATACTTAATTTGACAGTTTTTATGGTGAAATTTAAAACATCCTGTTGAATTTTGTTAGATGCTTTTTCTGCAGCTATTGAGATGATCATGTGATTTGGGCCAAACTTTCAAGGTACATAGAATGTTTACCCTGGTGCAACAGTGATAATAGGGACAGAAAGTTCTGAGAGGAAAGCTAGTCTAGGGGTGCTAGGTCTTCTGGAGGGTTCTCTCTTGGTGTTGAAAACGCTGATTTGTGTTCTGTTTTAAATGGTGGAGATGAGACAGGTCCTATAATTTATTTCATTACTATATAAATACAAAAAGGATCTTTTTCTAACTGATAGGCACTCACAATTTATGTGTATTTGGTTTTTAAAAAATCAAGCAACCTAAGCATCTTTGCAGTACAGTGTTTTCTATTTATTTTGGCAAAGGCATAGAGTCATAGTTTTAGAAATGAAAACTGTTCTTCAAATACATTCTTATGCAAAAACTCAGTGTACAAAACAGATGATTGTGTAGCTGCTGGGGTGGAAGGGTCCCTCCCATCACCCCTCTCCTCTCTCTCTCCCTTCTTCCCCCAACCCATCTCCTACCTCCCCTCCCATAACAACTGAAGAGACCTTGACAACACTGCAGAGCACATTTGAAACAGTGAATTCTGTCATTTCACAGGCAAGGAATTGTGAATTTTTTAGGTGTTGGCAAATGGATGAGAATGTTAGAGAACAAGCAGCAGGTGGAGATTTACCTCGTTACCACCCTTCCCTCACAAAAGGAGGGCGCATAGACTCTGATTACTCAATTATCTGGAAAACCTGTGGTGTTTGGGTTACCTTGTATTCTACAGTACTCTAGTATCCTTGGTTACAAAGCTAATTCCAGGTAGTTTCAGAAGTTGCTTCATTTTGCCTAGAAGAAGGGACACAACCCTGCAGGAGGTGGCCTTTGTCCTGGGTCCTGGACTTACACAACACAGTGTGGTCAGGGGCCAGAGAATACCTGATGCAATTCTCTTCCTAGCTAAAGAGATAGGTGGCTGACCTTGTTGTCAGAACTGTTACAAGATACATGGTGGTAGATTCTCTCTCATTTTCCTTTGTTGGTCTTCAGTTGTCATTAGAACCTTCTTTGGTGATGTGTAAGAGCCCAGGTTCTGAAACAGATGGGACAGATCTAGGTGCAATTGCTGTGACTGTGACCGTATCAAAGTTACTTAACCTTCTAAACTCCTATTTTTCTTACCTGCAAAATGAGGATGCCATTTGCCTCGGAGTGATTTTAAGGATTAAATGAGATTATATGTATGTGTGCATATACTTATGTGTGTATTTACACATTCATAAGATTTCTATATATAAATATTGGTTTTATACCCACATAAATATACAGATTTTTATATCTGTCATATATATGTGTATATATATGCACATTAGATATGTCTAGTGCTTTAGTACATGCCTGACACATAGTATGCGTTAAATACACAGCAGATGTTATTATCATTCTATTATATATTACTATATTATTCTGTAAGTATACTCAAATATTGTGATGTGCTGGACACTATGTGGTGCCACTCTCCGTGTGCCAACCTCCCAGATACAGCAGGACTCACTGCAGGAAATGGAAAAGGTGCCAGGCTTTGCTTAAATTGTATCCCGATTCCAATTTGCTTTCCTTAGTTAATATCCTTCTGAGTCTTCAGCCTTTGTCTTTTCTTAATGACCATTGCATTCCTTTAAAGTCTTAACTATTGAAATTGATATTGGTCTGTTCATGACATTTCTAGGGGAGGGAATGTGAGCTGCCTGGGCAATAGCAAAGTAGCCTCATGTAGATATATTTTCTTAATCTTTTTACTTATTTAAGTTTGCTTTTCCTTCATGGACACTAAAGGAAAAAGTATTTGTTTATAAAAAAATTTATTAGGCAGCTATTGGTTATTCTATTTCTTGCTAGTAATTTGATTAGAACTTTGGTCAGCAAGGGATAACAAGTGTTTGCAGTTGGACTTGGTAAAATTCTTGCCAGAGGCAAAGACTGTCTTGGCAGTTAGCTTATCCAGAAGGATCATGGGTAGAATCAGTTTCTTTTACCATTTAATAAATTTTAATTTATTTTATTTAAAAATGTATTATTTTATTTTTTAAAGACAGGGTCTCTCTGTTGTCTGATGACCGGGCTGGAGTGCAGTGGTGTGATCATAGCTCTCTGTAGCCTTGACTGCCTGAGCTCAAGTGATCCCCCCACCTCAGCCTCCTGAGTAGCTGGGATTACAGGCACATGCCACCATGCCTGGCTAATGTTTTTTAAAAAGTTTTTGTAGAAATAGGATCTTTATGTTGCTTAGGCTGGTCTCAAAGTCCTGGGCTTAAGCAATTCTCCTGCCTTGGGCTCCAAAAGTGCTCAGATTGTTAAGTGTGAGCCACTTTGCGTGGCTCTACCCTTTTTTTAAATAGCAGAGAATCAAAAGGCCCTCAATACTATGTTATTAGGACCTTAATAGGGCACCATGAGTACAGACCAGTGGCTCATAGACCTTGATTGGGCCTGTCTCTCATTTCACTCATTGGGTCTTTATTCTTATTTTTAAAAAGAATTTCACATGTAATGCAGTGGCACTAGCTATACTCATAAGGTCCAGATTATGTTGATTTTTCTCAAGATTATTTTTTAAAATGTCATAATAGTTGAAGTCTACAAGGAATGCCCATTTCCTCTGAATCATTAACATTGTAAGGATTGACCTGAGGATTAATAATGGATTTACTGGAAGAGGGTTTCTGTTAAGCACAGTGATGTTTGCATAATTGAGCCCTCATCCTTTAGTACCTTTGGTATTGAGAGACCAAGACGTTGAGATGCTTGTCGTGTGGCTTTTTCTGCAAGTAAGGAAGGCTGGTTCAATTAGTAAAGACTATGAGGCTAATACCTTCTATTTTTCCAGCATTTTGCTCGGGGAATAAGAAGCTGGGAAACCTAGAAAAGCTTTCCATTAGTTTTCATGACATCTTTTCCTTGGAGGGTCCACAGTTAGCAGTGCTTTGTTAATGTAAAATGGTTTTAAGAAATGTAACCATAAATTCCTAGAAGGTCAGCAGGCGGCCTTGAAAAAGAGCAAGGGAGAAGATTAACCACAATTATTGTCACCGTGGCCTGCTAGGTGCCAGATGCAGTCTTGGGGTCTTGTTACAGGCTTACACTAGCCTCCTAAGGGAGGGATCACCCCAGCTTCTTTGGAGGGGACATGAAGACTTTAGGAGGGGAAGCTACCATCCAGCTTGCATAGGAGTGGCTGAATCAGCACTGACCTCAGTTCTGAGGTCCATGATTTTAATGACCACATGCTATTGCTTCCCTGGTAGAAAAAACTTTGTTTTTCTTTAAAAATTTTTAAAAATTATTTGTTTGGGGGAAATTGAGCTACCATGTTTTTTCTTCTTTCTAGAGATGACATACCTGTTTTCTGATAAGAAATCTACCCCACAGTGCACTAAACCAAAGCAGACAAATGACCAGTAAAGCTGTTTGCTACCTCCTACTCATGCTGAGCTAGGCCAGTGGAGCACCATTTCCATGGGAGAGATTTTTGAAGGAAGAAACTGCAGAGTCCCTACCTAACCCAGAGAACCTAACAACTGGTTTATACAGGAAGGATAGAAAGAACTTTCTACCAACTCTAAAACCAGTCTTCTTTCTGCTATGTCAGGTTCCTCCATTCCCTGGCATCCTTACTTTTCATCCTTTCCAAAAAAGTGAACGTCTAAACCACTCTTTTTTTTTTTTTTTTTTAATACTTTAAGTTCTGGGATACATGTGCAGAATGTGCAGGTTTGTTACACAGGTATACACGTGCCATGGTGGTTTGCTGCACCCATCAACCTGTTATCTACGTTAGGTATTTCTCCTAATGCTATCCCTCCCCTAGGCTCCCACCCCCCGACAGGCCCCAGTGTGTGATGTTCCCCTCCCTGTGACCATGTGTTCTCATTGTTCAATTCCCACTTATGAATGAGTGAGAATATGCGGTGTTTGGTTTTCTGTTCCTGTGTTAGTTTGCTGAGAATTATGGTTTCCAGCTTCATCCATGTCCCTACAAAGGACATGAACTCACCCTTTTTTATGGCTGCATAGTATTCCATGGTGTATATGTGCCACATTTTCTTTATCCAGCCTGTCATTGACAGGCGTTTGGGTTGGTTCCAAGTCTTTACTATTGTGAACAGGGCTGCACACTCTTTACTATGTCTGTAAGCGCCCTCACAGCACTTACATTCCTTGCTTCTTTTCAACAAAGAAATGACACGTTGGTGTACTGTAGGTTGCTTACCTTCATTAATATAGGGGAAAAGTGTTTACAGTGTTGTAAAAATAATTTGTGTGTACTATCTTTTAACAAAACAAACTTTACTTTTTTTTGATATGGGGTCTCACTGTGTTTCCCAGGCTCTTCTGGAACCCTGGACTCAAGTGATCCTCCTGCCTCAGCCTCCTGAGTAGCTGGAACTATAGGCACAAGCCACAGCACCGCCTTCAGTCTTTGCTTTGAGTAGAGTAAGGCAGTTTAGGAAGGTGAACCTAAAACTGATGAATTGGATGGGAATGATGGGAATTCTGAAGGGATGGGCTTAGACATAGTGAAGGAAGGGAATTTAGGCAACTGGAGGGTAGACAGCAAGGGACGCTGGTGGCTCCCTTTGGCTCAAAAATAATGTTGTTTTGTTCTTTCAAGTGTTCATTCCTTCATTCCATTCTTCCTTCATCCAAGCATTCATGCATTTACCAAGCTTTTTTTGGTGGCTATTTTCAAGCTCTGTTTGATGCTATGTAAGAATAAAAAGTGGGAAAATTTATCTTCCTTCTTTTACTGGGAGGAAGAAAACGTTTGGAAGAAATAAAAATGTATACATGCACCTGTTTAAAAATATTGCTCTTATGGTACTAGATGCTTTTTGTTTATAAGATTCGGATGTTTGATATATTTTAGGTATGTGATGGTCAAAGCAAAAGTGTTTAGAAAATTGTGAAATTCTTATCCCACCTGCTTTTTTTCTAGAGAACTAGACAAATGTCCCCAACCCCCTCCCCCAAACCTTAAAGGTGGCAAGTGAATAAAATGGAGAGGCAAAACAATATTTTGTCATTTTCTAAAAACGTTTAAATGAAAAATACAGTGATGAAATAAGAAATACAGTGGTTTAGAAATTTAATATTTCTGGAAAGTCTGAAATCCAAGGATTGTTTGATTGAAGCAGGAAGGGATATCTTTTCCCCCCTTTTCCCCCTGTGGAAAAAGAAAATTGAAGCATTTGAAATAAGTGTGTGCATGTGAGTGTCTATGTTTATTTTGTTAAGCTCACTTTGTGATGTGTCTAAAACAAGAATCCCAAACTCTAAGGCCTCTCAGGACCATGCAGGTAACATAAATTGGCAAAGTGGGTCAGATGTTAGATAACAGTGGAGGTTGGGCACTCAGACACACTGGAGAGCCGCCTGCCCCGTATAATAGGAGCAGCTGCTGCTTGGAGCCTGTTCCTCGTTGCCAGGTGGCAGCCCAAGTGGGGGTGGGGAGGTGATCTTCCAATTTTCATGGAAATCCAGATTTTAAAGTCACTGATTAAAAATCTTAAAAAGCACCAACATCATGTGTGTTAACCAAACCTGTCTGTGGGTTGCATTTGGCTCATGGGTCACCAGGAACTTCTTGGTTTTACACCACTAGAATATACGGTCAGCCCTTCATATCTGTGGTTCCACATCTGAGGATTCAACCAGCTATGGGTTGAAAATATTCAGGGGAAAAATCCCCAATAAAGATAGCAATACCACAATAAAAAATACAGTATAGGCCGGGTGCGATGGCTCACATCTGTAATCCCAGCACTTTGGGAGGCCAAGGCAGGTGAATCACGAGGTCAGGAGTTCGAGACCAGCCTGGCCAACATGGTGAAACCCCGTCTCTAGTAAAAATACAAAAATTAGCTGAGCGTAGTGGCGGGTGCCTGTAATCCCAGCTACTTGGGAGGCTGAGGCAGGAGAATTGCTTGAACCCTGGAGGTGGAGATTGCAGTGAGCCAAGATCGCGCCACTGCCCTCCAGCCCAGGCAACAGAGTGAGACTCTGTCTCAAAAACAACAACAACGACAACAACAACAACAAAACAAAACAAAACAAAAACCAGTATAACAACTATTTACAAAGCATTTTCGTTGTGTTAGGATTGATAAGTAATCTAGAGAGGACTGAAAATATTTAAGAGGATGCACATAGGTTATATGCAAATGCTTCACCGTTTTACATCAGAGACTTAAGCTTTGTAGATTTTGTGTCTGCCAGGGGTCCTGAAACCAATCCCCTGTGGATACTGAGGGACCACCGTACTGTGTATAACTCAGAATGCTCACAAAATGGTTGCTGTTTTCTATTTAAAATAAAAATTTTCCAGCATTAATTACAGAATTTCTAGTTGAATTTGAGTTGAAATATCTCCATTTGTGATGAGTTTGGCTATAAGTGCATACCATAGTGTTTGCATAAAGTAGTCCTTTAATAAAGATTTGTTAAACCGAACTGAATGTGAGGGGGTTTAATAACCCATAGCCTTCCAGTATACAAGAATCAGAGAGAAATTTAAAAACAGAAGAAGCTGTCAACAGAGTAAAGTAAAAATCAATATGTTTTCTGGTTTTAGTGTCCTCTGCTGTGTCAGGCAAATAGAGAAAGCATCTGTTTTCACAAACAAAGGAGGTTTGTCAGCAAACATACCTCATACTTTAACAAACACAAAGGTTAAAGGTTAAAAAAAAAAGAGTGGGGCAGACTCATTGAATTTTACTTTTGCAGTATAAATCTTTGCTCAGTTTTGTTTTCTAAGTTACCACTTCTCTGGCTTCACTTCTTTTGATGTTTTATTTTTGTCATCTCCTGCACTTATGAAAGCCAAAGGTTGTCAAAACTTTCCCACCCCATCCATGTATTCTTGGTTGCAAATGAGAACTTAAGCAGAAAAAGCAGTTATTGAAAGAATATCCAGCAGTTATCAAAGGAATACTGGGTTGCCAGAACCACAACAAAAACCATACCATAGGAACAGTGAGCTACCATTGTGCTGGTGTCACCTTGTGAGGACACCCTGATGACACTGTTCAGACACTGTAAGTGTGGTTATCTCCATATTCTCCTCTGTCTCTGTCTCCTTATGTTGCTTGCTCCAGCTTCCAGGTCCTGAGTGGGAGCACCTGATCGTCACGGGCACACACTGGGTGCCGGGGATGGAGGAAGTGATGGCCTTCTCAGCATCCCTGATGAGGTTGCCCCCTAACCTCCACTAGTACTCACCCCCAACGTAGGCAACTCAGACCCTGGACACTATTATGTTGACTTCCTAGAGGAAGAAGATGGAGGCATCTGACGCCAACTTGAGGCAAAGGAGTCAGACGCTATGTCATTCCTAGGAATTGGCAGCTTGTGGCAGAAATGAAGGGTTCAGAGCGTATATGTTGCTTATCCAGGACACTTTCGGTAGAGTTGAGATTTTAACTCATTGTGCTTGACTTCCAAACCCATGCCCTTAACCACTTCTTTCCAGACGTATCTTTTGTGTAACATAAATGGTGGCATTGACAAATGCTTTCCCAATCTCCACCCCAAAGGGTGCTGCTTACTTTCTGTTCCAAGCAGATACAGTAGAAGTCAGTACTGCCCTGATGTAGATTACATTGTCATCTTTTTTACAGCAGCAGGAAGTTCTTCAGTGGCAGTATAGATGACACATGTGATTTTGTATAAAAATATATATTTTTTATTTTTTTAGTGCATTCTCTGAAGACCTATTGTGTGTCTGCTAGGTATAAGACACTGTGTACTAAGCCCAGGGATACTGAGTTAAGTAAGACAATTTGTGTGCCTTCAAAACTCACTCTAGAGAGAAAGAAAGGTAGGCAATGATATGTAAATATCTTGCTTGTTTAATAAAAAACTGACAAAGGAAAGCGTTTGGAGGATAAAAAAAGTTTGAAGTCCATTGAGGAAAAGAAGAAAGTTACTTCTGCTAACCCTTCCCCCAACCCTCAAATGACTTACAATATGGGGCTGGAGAAAGTGGGTGCCAGGAAAGGGGCAAAACCTGCAGCCAGCTGAGAATGGTGGAGAGACATGAAGACCAGAGAGGGCACTAGGGCAAGTTCATCCAGTGTGAACGTAGCCCTTTTAAATAATCTGATGTATACATATGTAACTAACCTGCACAATGTGCACATGTACCCTAAAACTTAAAGTATAATAATAAAAGAAAAAAAAACTTAAAAAATAAATAAATAAAAATAAAAATAAAAAAAATAATCTGATTATCTGCCATTGTCTCATTTTCTGCTGCCCTATGGCATTTTGACAATGAGTAGAACATTATTTTATTGTAATCCATTAACTGTGGGTAATTCTCATTTTTTGAATGTTCTTTCTTGCTCATAAAGTGCCACATTAACTACCACTACATTTGAGTTGCATAGCTTTGAGAGCTTTATAAACAAATGACTTTGCTACGGGGTGTATGCCCACCTGTGGGAACATTGCTGAGTTCTGATCATCTCACGTGCTTGTGGTCTTACTGGCCCCATGGTCATTAGAGATGTGTGATCCCAAGAGGAAAAACTAGAGTATTGGTTTAGCAGTAATGTCATATTGCAGGTGCCTTTAAACAATGTCGCGCAGTTTAAAGAATATAAAACAAATTTATGATCACAAAGTGAAGACAAGTTGCCACCACCCGGGTCAGGAAACAGACATTTGCTAGCCCTCTAGAAGCCCGCTCTGCCCATTCCCAGTCATGACCCCCTTTCCCTCAAAGGTAAGCACAATCCTGACCTTTAGTCACTTCCTTGCAGCATGTGTTTTCTGTCTCACACTGTGCCAAATCCTTTCTACCTGTGGATTCAGGAAAGCCAGTGTGCTGACACATGGTCTCTCGGGTTGTCATGGTTAAAGTCTGTGCTAATGTGGCTGTCACAGGAATGTGTTTAGGTGCAAGGGTGTTGTGTTCTGCATTTTAACATCAGGTTAGAGGGGAGGCTATGGCGTTTGGCCTGAGGCCTGGTTTCTCACAGGCTCTAGGCGGCGCCTGCTTGCAGGATCTGGTGTAAGGACTGGCCTGGGAGCCCTGGGAGCCATCATCCAGGCTGCTCCTGGCACTTGGAGGTAGGTTGTCAGTACCTTCATTCCATAGCACACGCAAGTGTAATCAGAAACCCTGGGCCTGTGGATTCCTGTAATTTAAACCCCAGTCACTATGGGACTGATTGCATAGGATGGGTTCCATCAAAAGAGTTTCTTTTTTTTTTTTTTTTTTTTTTTTGAGACGGAGTCTCGCTCTGTCGCCCAGGCTGGAGTGCAGTGGCGGGATCTCGGCTCACTGCAAGCTCCGCCTCCCGGGTTCACGCCATTCTCCTGCCTCAGCCTCCCAAGTAGCTGGGACTACAGGCGCCCGCCACTACGCCCGGCTAATTTTTTGTATTTTTAGTAGAGACGGGGTTTCACCGTTTTAGCCGGGATGGTCTCGATCTCCTGACCTCGTGATCCGCCCGCCTCGGCCTCCCAAAGTGCTGGGATTACAGGCGTGAGCCACCGCGCCCGGCCTCAAAAGAGTTTCTTATGTAAGAGGATTTAACGTGGTTTTTAGTATCATTGTGTTTTATAGAAGTTCATTTTAACAATGGTATAATACATTCCTGTAATTGAATTAGCAATACATCAGCATTGTGTTATTTCAGTAGCTACAAGACCGTTTGCCCTGTGTGTACAGACTGCCCGCCCTGTAGGCATGGTCTTGGAGTATGGTAGGTCGTCCTTCCCACCTGTCTATAGAATGATGGGTTTGAAAGCAGTGCCCGGGGCCGACCACGAGGACTCAGAGGTCCATCTTGTACTGCCACAGGCACTAGATGCTGCAGAGTGCCTAACAGGAAGCCAGCATCTGGTGAGCTACTTACTAGTTCGTTAATGAAATTACTGCTCTCATGCTCTCTAGGCTCATGTTTGATTCTGGGAATGAGTTCATGAAGCTGTCGGGAACTTTAATGCAGAGGTTTTCTTTTTACAGGAAGAGCTAGACAGAGCTTACCTAGTAAGGACCAAAACAGTGACCAGATCGAGCAGGGAAGTCTGTTTTGCAGAGAGTGCACCTGGAATCACAGGCAGATGCACAAGAAAAAGGGACACGGAGCAAACCCTCTAGTTCCTAAAGAGTATGGAGACGGCCGGGCGCGGTGGCTCACGCTTGTAAACCCAGCACTTTGGGAGGCCAAGGCGGGCGGATCACGAGGTCAGGAGATCAAGACCATCCTGGATAACATGGTGAAACCCCGTCTCTAGTAAAAATACAAAAAAATTAGCCGGGCATAGGGGCGGGCGCCTGTAGTCCCAGCTACTCGGGAGGCTGAGGCAGGAGAATGGTGTGAACCCGGGAGGCGGAGCTTGCAGTGAGACGAGATCGCGCCACTGCACTCCAGCCTGGGCGACAGAGCGAGACTCCGTCTCAAAAAAAGAGTGTGGAGACAATATTTAGCCTGTGATTTAAAAGAGATGTAACTTTCCTCTTACAGCATCTGCAATAGTGTTTTTCAAACATGGTCTACCAACCACCTGTGTCAGAGAGGTGGTGGGGGGAAGGTGATTGTGGTAGTGGGTGCGTGTAAGAGTGCGCATGCGCGCCCGTGTGTGAGTGTGTGTGTGTGCGCGCGCGCACACACACACACACACACTCAGAGAGTGTTTGTCAGAAATGTAAATTCCTGAGTCCTGTAGCAGATACACCAAACCATAATCTATAGGTGTGGAGGCCAGGAATCTGCATTTTAATCACATAACCATTTTTGTGCATAGTTGAATCCTAGAATCTCTGATCTAGAGTGGTAGTTTCATTCATTCATTTTGGTGAAGGTTGAGTTGGACTGTGGAGAAACTGGGACTTTTAAAGAAGAAAGAAAAGAAAGCGTAGGCCTGAGACATATTTGCTGATTTGAGAAAAAGAAATACACATGAACTAGGGTGGATTTTTTCATACTCTCCTGGAAGAGTCTCAAATTTCAACTCACCTGTTTTGTAAAATGTTCTGAACCCAGATGAAGATATGCTCTCTGGTGGCTCGGAGATGTCATTGCAACCCCTCCTTCCTTCCTTGCCTTGTCTGGGAGTGGGGTAGTGGGTGTACTTTTGGGGTCCTCTGTGGGGAGAGGTCCACTTGAAATATTAGTGAGTAGAGATCAGCTGGTGAGCCTTGAAGCTGGCTGTGGTTAATTTCCAGTCTCAGTTATTCCAAAAGCAAAATATTTCTCTGTCTTGCTTCCTTCCACCTTTCAGTTCAGTTAACTTAGTTCTCCTACATCAATTGAGAATTGGATAAACAAGAAGCATTGCAAGCACCACATGGATTTCTAGTTCATTTTAAGTTGACCTTTCATTAAAGTGAGTGTCTGTAATCGGTGTCTGTGGTAGCTGCTTTAAATCTTTCAGTATTTATAAAGATTAAGGATTTGTTACTTGCGAAGGTCATTGAGCAACTTCAAGAAATTGGCATCAATGTGACGAACTAAGCACAGCTCATTCTTAGCATTTCAGAATCATAGAAGGTTTGAGCTGGAAGGAATCCCAGAAATCCTCTAACCCAGCAGTGCTCGTGGTTAATTAAGAGACTGAGCTCTGGACCCAGATGGACTGTGTTACATTCATGCTCTGCCAGTTGATACTAGCTGTATTACTCAGTGCCTCAGTTTCCGCAGTTGTCAAATGAGGGTGGTGATACCTACTTCATTGTACTGTTTTGGTATTGTAATGAGTTGATGTATGCAAAATGCTGGGACTGGTGCCCAAAACACGGTAAACATTCACATGCCATTTAGCAAGTGACAAAAGACCCAGAGAAATGTTGATTTTTCCTGAGGTCGTATCACAACTCCAAGGTTTAGAAACTAGGCCTTTTAACTCATAGTCTTATTATGTTTCTGTCAATTGTACCAGTTAACTAGTTCTTAAACTATGGGTTCCAAAGTTTATATCTGCCAATATAAGCACTAATATTTATGAGGCTCTGCTTAGTCTCAGTGCTCAGAGATAATTCTCAAATAACAAGATGTGAATATAACATAAAGAGATTAAGACACACAGCAGGACTTTTCTGTCCCTTGCCGAGTAATGCAGCCTTTAAAAACTGTTAGGAAAACGGTATAAAGGCACTGGATGCAAATGTTCTTTCCTCACTTTGCTCAGTGTCTGGCATTAACACCTGGCAATTGTATGGCTAGAGTCAGCAAGAAAAAACAAAACTATATGTATACTATGATGTTTATGTATATATTATGTAATGAAGGAAAAATAAATTTTTCCTACACGTATATACACAGATGTATATATGTAACATATATTATGTAATATGTGTAACATATACTATATTACATATTATATATTAATATATACTATATTACATATATTGTGTATTATATGCCATATATTATGTATATTTGTATTATGTATATATGTCATATAATATATTACACATAAATATTATGTATTATATGTGTTATATAATATGTAATATGTATTTATGTATTATGTAATATGTATTACATATATGTATTATATGTTTTATGTATATATTATATACATAAGTACAATACACATATTATGTAATATATGTATTATAATATATGCATATATTATATGCATATAATATATAATATGTATTATAATATATATTATTAATAATATTAATAATATATAATATTAATAATATGTAATATATGCATATATTATAATACATATACTGTATATTACATACATTAGATATTATGTATATTACATAATATTATGTTATATATTATGTAATATATATGCGATATATAATATATACACATATATTCTGATATATGTAATGTATAATATATGTCTATTTTATATATAATACATATTACATATGTGTTATAATGTAATATATTATATAATCTATATTACCTAAGGTAATATATGTCTATATATTATATTATTTATATTTTATATATATAAATCTGTGTGTATACACGTGTATGCAACAAATCGAAGGAAAAATAGTGAAAGTTCCTACTACAAAACCACATTCTCTCTGAGCTACTTATACTTGCTTTATTTCCTTTCTTCTATTTTAACAAACTTTCTTTTCCTGTGTATAAAGAAGAGGTGTTAGATGTTTCCTCCTGTTTACATAGTTGAATTGGAATTACTTATAATTTTACCTAGAAGGGAATGGATTTTGTTTTTAAAAACTCCTAATAGTGGGACATCAATGATGTATATTTTTGTCCCATGTGCCTGTTAGCCACCCACTTCAAGCCATGAGTGTTTACCCAGAGTTTGCTATGTGAGATTCTTCTTTATTCCTCCCACTGGGAAGATATTTCCTGTGCCCTAAGGGCAGGGTGGCCCTGTTGAGAAAACCCTCTAAAACCTCCCTGATGATAGGGTAACAGTTTGTACTTAGATCTGCGTGACCCTGGAGAAGTTACTTCTTTAAAGTTTAATTTCCTTATCAATAATGGGTTTAATTCTAGTGTATGTTTGATAGATCTTCTGTGTCCAGAGAATTGGCCAAGAGAGCTATATTTAATTCTTTCTCTTCTTCATTTCCAAAGCAGCATGAGTATCTATTGTATATGGTTGCTTTTGTGGACAGGATTACAGATATGGAAAACATGTGGAAGATAAGTGATCAAAAGTGATTTGGAATGACAGTGTAGGGTACGCCTCTGGCAGCTGGGTCAGGGTGGGCTGTGTGGTTGTATGGTTGGTGGTTTGGATACTGATGTTGCTTAAAGAAACAAAAGTAGTTGAAGTAAAAGATTATAGCAAGTAAAATTACATTTTGGGGGGCTTGTGTAACTCTTGTAGTTTTAGTAACAGGCCTTTGATATGTGATGTGCACCCCGTGACATGTTTACCAGTTCCCCTTAGCATCATAACCTGTTTTAGATCAGCATTCCCTTTGCCAGGTGTTATCTGGATGGATTTCTCTGGGCCAGTCTGCAGCAGCTTTGAGACTTATATAAAGTTGAACAACATAGGCGTTAGAGGCACCCCCACCCCTCACAGTCAAACATCTGTGTATAACTTTTGACTCCCCCAAAACATAACTACTTATAGCCTACTCTTGACCGGAAACCTTACGGAAAATGTAAACAGTTGATTAAGACATATTTTGTATATTATCCATATTACATATTGTATTCTTACAGTAGGTAAGCTAGAGAAAGGAAAATGTTATTAAGAAAATCATGAAAGAAAATATATTTACTGTTCATTAGGTGGAAGTGGATCATCATAAAGTTCTCCATCCTCATTGTCTTCATGTTGAGTAGGCTGAGGAGGAGGAGGAGGAAAGTTTGCTGTCTCAGGGTTGGCAGAGGCAGAAGAAAATCTGTGTATAAGTGGACCACGTAGTTCAAATTCGTGTTGTGCAAGGGTCAACTGTACTTACTGGAAAGCATGGACATTTGGTTCCAGGCCTTGGAATTTCATGTCGTTGAACACTGACAGAATCCAGCCCTGCCATTAATCAGGAAAGGATGCCAGATCCCATTTTCATTGTAATGTTTGGCTCGTTCCAAGCAGCTTATCCGGGATATTTCAGGCATGAAATTTAAGCAGCCAGGAGTAACCTGTTCACTTTTTATGGCAGAAATGGGGAAGCTTCCAGTCTGGGAATTAGATTCAGTACATGGGAGTGAAAGGTCATATGGTGCCTTCAAATGAAATACCCTTATAATTTAAAAAATCTGCAAATAAATAGTAATAAGAACAATGATCAGGTTAATGAGAGTTCGTTGACCCATTAACACATAATTGCTCATCATACTCAGAAGTCCTAGGGTTCAGTTGAAGAAGCACAGAGGCAGGAGGGTGTGTTGGTTACTAGCATACAGCTGCAGCCAGGATCTGGTTTGCTTTTGGCTCTGCCACTTAGTTGCAGTGTGACAATTAGCTTAACTTCCCTGGGACTCAGTTTCTTAATTTCAAGGTGAGAGAAGGTAATTATAATAACTGTCTCTTAAGGCAGCTGTGAGGATTATATAAATAAGTTAATTGGCTGAAGTAGAGTTTGGTACTTACGGTGTCTATGTAAGTTACCTTTGTAAACTCAAAACCTACTGAGTTTTTCCTTCTCCTCCTATCTTTATTTCCCTGTCAGTCCATCTACAGTTGGGAAATAATTCCCCATGTGTTTCTCTTGTTTGTATAGTAGCCTTGGAAGTTAGAAGTAGTGGGTAGAGTCTCCTATGCAGCAAAAGGCAGGTATGCTGATTGCTTGTTATAAAAGATTAAGGTTTCCTAAGCTCATATAAACCTAACAATACAAATTTTTTTGGCTGCCATTTTTTTTTTTTTTTTTGCTGTTAGAGTTTGTGTGTTTATTTTTGCTAGTTCAGATTTTATATCAGGTTCTAATTTCTACAACATTTACCTTTTTTTTTTTGCATTTCTTCTGCTAAAGCATATTTTCCTTTTAAAAGTCTTTTCGTTAAAAATTTTAGTAATTGAGCTATTTTTGTTTGCCAAAGCAAAACAGTTATTCTTTTTTCACCTCAGATAAACAACTAATATTGCTTAAATATTTAGTGGGCAGTACTAGATCTTTATTCCTATGTGTAAGCAATTTATTACTAATTTCTTTTAAAAGCATATCACTCAAGAATTCTTTTTCCAAATGACTAATAATGATGCTTCATACTTCTGTGATTAAAACATAGCTAGCAAAAAGCTAATTGAGTTACTTTATCTTTTTAAAATACTTCCAACATTCTTCTTGCTCTTTATTCATTATTGTGAATATCTAAAAAATTATTTAATAAATAAGTGATACTAAGTTCAATAGTATTTACATGTACTGTTTACAAAGAACTGTACCCTAGTGAATATTCAAGCACTGGAAAATGCCTATGAGCATTATCTGATCGTGTTAACATTTGGATCTTCTAGAAAGATTAACAGCACTGCATATAATCAGTATTTGTATAAAGCCTACTATGTGAAGCTTATTAATATTAATTTTATTTGCAATATTGACTCACCCTTGGCGGCAGACAGGACATCGAACTCACGCTTAGAACATGGGAACAGCTACAAGGAAGACTGAGTGATTGGATTGGGGCTCTTCTCTTCTGCACACTCCTGTCTCAGTTCTCGGAAATGTTGGCCTTAACCTTTACCTCTGCAGGACGGCATTTCCTGTGCTTGCTTTGGACTTGTCAGTGGACTTGATGTTGATTGCTAAGCAAGCAAGAAAATTATAATACTGTTTTTGCTGTTTCTCATCTGATTTTTCTAGGGATTCTGCAAAACCTATAAATTTCCAACTAAATTCTGGAAAGGAGTTACTACACAGAAACACTGTTCTCATTTCACTCCAGACAAACTTCTCAGTTGTTGCTGCGTCTGTGCGGGCCTACGGGGTCTCTCTGATCTTACCTCTGATGATTGTTCCCTTGGCTCATTGTGCTCCATTCACTCTGGCCTCCTTGCTCTCCTGAGATACACCTGGCACATGTTCCTGTGGTACACCTGTTTCCGCTTTCCCTGGAATGTGCTTCCCCTGACATGTTTGCTCACTCCCCTTCCTCTAGGACATGCTCACATGTCCCCTTTGGAATGAGGCCTTTGGTGACCACTCTAGACAAAATAACCCAGCCCCCAAGCACTCTCTGGCCCTCTGCCTGCTTTCTGTTTCCTCCATGGCACTTAGCACTTGTCTGACACTACTGTGGGGTGGTCCTGAGGGCAGTGGTTGTGTATACTGCTTTATCTTCAGTGCTGCAACACTGCCTGTTGCATAGTAGAGGCTCTGTAGTTATTTGTTAAATGAATGAATGAGGTTACTCTTACAGTTTTGTATGGAACAGCTAGGAGACAGGTAAGATTGGTGACCGAGAGTTGTATTAGGAGGCTGTTGTCATGGACCCCCTGGGATTTGGTAAGAATCCAAACCAAAGGGTTGGAGAAGTGAAACAGTCAAGAGACAGGGTGGGTAGGTGTGGTGGTGATGCATCTCCTTTGGGAATGGAGGAGAGGGGAAAATGAGAGCATTCTGGAATATTCCCTGTTTTTAGCCTGGCAATTAGATGGTCTTTCCGTTGAGCTAAGATAAAGAATACTGGAAAAAGACTAAGCATTTCTTTTACAAAGCAAATTGTGTGTATTAGTAGAGAACAACATATTTCTGAAATTGGTGTTTTTATGAAATATAGTTTCTCAAAGGCTCTAAGTAACCCTTGCTGAAATGCTGATTTTAGTTTGAGGTCAAGTTTCCTAAAATGTTTTAAAAGCTAGCCATGCAGGAAGGCTTTGGCCTCCAGGGAGTTTATATCTTTAGATAGAGAGATTTTTCTATATTTGGGAGCTAAACTGGAGTTTCTGAAGGTCTGAATACTTAGTTAGCTTCTCAGTACCTTGAGTCACTAACAAAATTAACATTTTAAATAGGAAGTTTACAGTTCTTCCCTCTTTTAATAAATGTTTCCTTGTATAAGAATGATCTTTGAAGCAGAGGCCTCAACCGCATTCCTTATTACACTGCTGCAGCTCTGGATGTACCCATGAAGCCCTGTAATTGGAATCTTCTGGCTGGCTCAGATAAGCAGCTTATTTGTGAGCCAGGTCCTGCCCTGTTTCTTTAAGGCCTCAAAGCAGGAAGATGGTGAACTTTATGCAATTCTGAGTTGACTCCAATCCAGATGTATTTTGGAACTAGGTAGAATATGACTGGTAAGTGAATTTTAATATTTTAATTGAGTTACTTGGATGAATTTAGAGTGATTCTAGGTATTTGCTAATAAAAAATACAGAGTTCATGTTTGTGAGGCTTTTCACTGATTACAATTCATTACTTTGTTCCAAGATAATTTTGTCTCCCTTGCTTCTCACCTGCCACGTGGGAAGCCTTGGCCTCTTTCTTGCTGAGGCTCAGGCTCCTTTGAATAGCAGAGATGAGGGCATGATGCTGGTGACACCTGCTGGCGTGACCCCATTTGGGGAGGCTCTGGCTTCTTTCCTATATGGTTAGAGGTGTCCAGGACCTCTGGGAACCCTGTCTGTTAAATGGAAAGAGTTGGCCTAGAGCCTCTCAGGCATCTCCCAGCATTGAAATTCTGTGCTCTAACTGCTTTTGGTAAAAAGAATGCAGTAGATCTGAATGTACTGATGTGGAAGGATGTCCACGACATATTGTTGAGTGAAAAAAGCAACTTGTAGAACATTTTGTGTGTCTAGAAAAAGAATACATAGTGATGTAATCTGTTAGCAATTGGGGGAGTAGAAGGGAAGGACTTTTACTTCTTAATTTATATCCCTTGGAACTAAATTTATTCACCCATATGACTTTTATAATTTTAAAAGAATAGCAACTAGAAAGCCAATCATTTTAGATGAGCTGTGGTGGGGCCAGCCCCTGAACCTTCTCGGTGCCTGCATTGGGTGGCTGCAGCCTGCTCCTGCATGCCATACTCCCTCTAGCAGCAGCTGGCTTGGGCTGAGAGGCCGCTTCCCACTTGCACTAGCAGGGAACCTTTGTTTTTTCATACCTGCCAGCTGGAACTGTCTTCCCTGCCTGGCTCCATTGACATTTGGATTTACAACTCATATTTTAAAGTTAAAATATATAGGTTGTGCTTCTTAAAAATCACTAACGTTTAAATTTTTCATTTGCTTAGGCTTGCTTTTCTGAAATTAGTAGGCCTTAATGAGGTTTTGGTGAGTTCCAGGATAGTCTTTCCCTGACTGACAGACCGGAACGGGTTTTTGTGTGTATTTACTGACAATGAGTACTGCAGTATGTAACTAATAAAGAATTAAAATACTACTTTTTCTAGGGATGTTTCAGTTTTAATAGAAGGCTCTTAAAGTTTTTAGGAATCAAAGCTCTGAGTCTCAAGCACCTCTTGACTAATGGTGATCCCATATTTTTAATTAGGCATGATGTATGGTTACTCCCAAGTCACCTGTGTAGGCTGGAGATGCTGTGGGATGTGGCAGTAGGTGACGGTTAGGTGGTGATTGTAGGTGCAGAGTGAGTTGGGTGACATGCTGGGAAGACTTTCATATATTGTACCAAGACCCTATGTGTCCCTTCTGTTTTCAGGTGCCTTGTGCCTTTCCTTTATTGGGTCTTATCTGAATAATTTCATCTGTTGCTTTGAGTATAACTAAATATTAAGATAAAAACTATCTAGTGGAGCATCAGTAGCTTATAATTTAGCAAATGGGCCTTTGTTGGCACTTTGATTTAACTAATGTAGATGACCTATGCAAGAAGAGTAACTTTAGGCTTTTCAGTGAGTGACGTGAATTTAGCACATCACATGAAGCACATGTCTTGGAGCTATTAGCTGTCATAGTTTATTGAGTCAGATACCTAAAAGCAGTGGTTCAGAGACGCAGGCATGAACTTTTCCACCTGCCTTACCTTGCTGAGGTCATTTTAAATGCCCCAAGCTAGAAATTGGGTAAAGATTTATAATTTGTCAAACTGAAAATAGAAGAATATGATGAGATGTAGCTTGGGGTGAAAGATTTTTTTGTCTTAAAAATCAGTAATACTATAATGTAATAATAGTTTTCTTTTATTGAGTTTTCATTTATTTACTGTAAAGTCAGGAAATATACTAAGTACTTTTTGTGCATGGTCTCATTAAACCCACAGAGCAACTCTATGAATATCATCCCATCTTACAGACGAAGTAGCTGAGTAACAAAGAGGCTAAACACCTTGACCAAGGTGGTATATTTAACTAATAAATGTTAAAGCTGGGATTTGAACCCCAGGGGTTAAATCCAGGTCCAGAGTGTTAACCACTGAATTATACTCTTTCCCTTAAGTGGATGATAAAACCTTGCTAACTAAGGCTAATTGTGAGCTTATTGTGGACAACATTAACGTGACTTCATTTAAGAATATTTAGTGTCGGCATAGATCACAACACCATGGCTGTGATTGGCACCGTGGTTGTTTTCATTTCTGTAGCTGCTGTAACAAATGACCACAAATGTGGTGACTTAATCAAGGCATTGGCAGGGCTGTGCTCCCTCTGCAGGTTCTAGGAGAGAATCTGATCTTTGCCTCTACCAGTTTATGGTGCCTGTCAGCCTCCCTTGATTTGTGGCTGCCCTACTCCCATCTTTGCTCTGGTGTTCACACTGCCTTCTTCTCTTCTCTTTGGTGTCAGGTCACTGTCTACCTCCCTCTTACAAGGAAGGATACCTTTGATTGCATTTAGAGCCCACCAGGATAATCCCCCCATCTCAAGGTCATTAACCTAATCACACCTGTAAAGTCCTTTTTGCCATGTAAGATAACATTCACAGATTCCAGGGATTAGGACATGGATATCTTTTGGCGGGGGACGGGGCACTATTTAGCCTACTACAGTGGCAAATATTAATAGAACTTTCAGTCCGCCTTGTAGGAGTATGCTTAACGTCAACAATTTCCTAACTGTTTTGCAGGACACAGATGTTAAAAATGTGAAAGAATTCTGTTGTCAAACAGACTTGAGAGTCATTGTGTAATATATCCCTCTTTAAGGAGATTCCCAATGCACAATGAAGGCTTTGAGAATTCCTGTGGCAATGAAAGCTGCTTAACCTTGTCAAACCCAGGATTCCTCAGACTTAGTTGATTACAAAACACTTCTTTTTAAAGGGTATGTCTACTTACATATCAAAAAATACTTGAAGATGCCTTAGGAAGCATGAGTTGAGTTACTTGTTGCCTGTTAGTCTTTTGAAGGCATAGAGTGTGTTTTAACTGACTTTTTGTTACTTAATATCTTAAACATGCTTGGAATTGATTGGACAGAATAAAACCAAGATAAATATACAAAATTAAATGATTCAGGGATAATGTGGGTTATGCCTTGCGTGCCTGTCTGAGGAGTTTGGACTTGATTCTCTAGACCAAGGATTGGCACACTGTAACTTGTGGGCCAAATCCAGCCTTCTGCCTGTTTTTATAAATAAAGTTTTATTGGAACACAGCCACATCAATTTGTTTGCATATTGCGTGTGACTGTTTTGGTGCTATAATAGCAGAGTAGGGGATAGGCTTGCAGGGCTTAAAAAATCTGAGCTTTTACACAAAAAGTTTGCCAACCCTGATATAAGTAGTGGGAAGCCATGAAAGGGTTTTGATCAGGGAGGTGGTATCTTCAGATTTGTGTGTCAGAAAGCTTACTCCAGCAGCTGTGTGGAGGATGGATCGGAGAATACAATGAACAGGGGGATGGCAGAGGGAATGGGAGGGAAGGGAACAGCAGAAAGACATTTTGGACATAGAATCTACTATAAGCCTGGGTATGGGGTATGGGAGGGAGAGGAGCCAAAGACAGTTTTGTAAAATAAGCTTTTAATTTTAGAATACTTTTAGATTTACAGAAAAGTTGCAAAGATAGTACAGAGTTCTCATATTCCCAGATCCAGTTTCCCCTACTGCTAATATCTTATATCGATATGAAACATTCCTCATAACTAATGATCCAATATTGATATCTTATTATTAACTCAAGTCATAATTTTTAAATATTTTCTTAGTTTTTACCTAGTGTCCCTTTTCTCTTCCATGATCCCATTCAGTATTCCACATTACATCTAGTTGCCATGTCTCTTTTGAGCCCTAGACGGTGACTGTTTCTCAGGCCTTGCTGGTTTTTCATGACCTTGACAGTCTTGAGGAGTACCAGTCAGGTGTTTCATAGAATGTCCCTTAATTGGGATTTGTCTGATGCTTTTCTAATGATTAGATTGGGGTTATGGGTTTTTGTGAGGAAGATCACAGAAATGAAGTGCCATTTTCATCGTATTATATCTAGAGTACATAGTACCAACATGACTGCTCACGTTGATATTGAGCTTGATCACCTGATCAAGCTGAGCTAGTGTTTGGCAGGTTTCTCCACTGTCAAGTTACTTTTGTTCACCCTTTCCATACTGTGCCCTTTGGAAGGAAGTCACTATATGTAGCCCACACAAAAGGAGTAGGGAGAAGTTACGCTTCTCCTTGTGGTTGGAATGTCTACATAAATTACTTTGAATTCTTCTGCACAGAAGGTTTGCATATTCGCTCCCATTTATTTAATCAATGATTTATTTTTTAGTATGGATTCATGGATATTTAATTTATGCTTCAGGTTATAATGCAATACTACATTATTTATTTGGTTGGTCAAGTTGTTCCAGCTTTGGCCTTCGGGAGTTCTTACAGTGTGTGTATGTTTTAGTACGTCCTTATTTTCTGGCATTCCAGGATGCTCAGGCTCATCTTGAATATTTGCTTGCCCCAGACCTAGAATCAGCCAGTTTTCCAAGGAGTTCAAGGGTTTAAGCAGAGGTAAAAGTTGTCAAAGGAGGTTGACGAGGAGGGGTCAGAGAAGCAGGTGTATTAGTACAATCTCAGGGCATGCCAGGGTAGCAGATTGGTGAGTGTGCCTTTTTAAGTCAAGGTTCCGGGATAGATAGTATAGGAGTCTGGCTGCTGGAGAGGGCTGGGAGGAAGGGCAGTAGAAGATAAGGCTGGAGCCAGAGGTGTTGGCCTTGAAAACCAGTCCAAGGCATGTTAACTCTCTTTGGCAGGAAGGGTGTATTGTAGGGCTGATAAAAGCTGTGCTTCAGGATAGCTAGTCCGCAGCTTCATGCAAATTAGATAGAGGGATTAGAACTTGCAGTTGCTTCATTGGGAAATTTGGAAATGGGTGCTTGGTGAGGTAATGAAAAGAGGCAGGAAGCAGTGGCCTATTATTTGCTACCAAGGATTTTTGCATAGATTAGATTCCTTCTTAGGGAAAAGAAAGTTAGTGATTAAGCAGTCTGTTTGCTTACAAGCAAATGTATACAATTTAAAAAAGTAGATTGTCTTAAAATATCTACTCTGCCTGTTGTATTTACTAATGTGTGCAGTCTCCTTTTCTTGGAAAAGACTGAAAGGTGGACTTAAACTCCACCCAGTTTGGAAAGTCACAGAATCCAAGTTAATGGAGTCTGCATTTTTAATTTGATTTTTATGTGGTGTCTCCAGTCAATTTCAAAATTATTTCCCGTTGAACTTTCTGCTTTATCTTTTTTAGATGGTGGTTTATGTAGCTTTTAATAGCTGTGGTGTTTCTGAGATAATTGATGGCAGAGAGGAATTCTGGCTGAGCCTCGGTTGTATGGAATTAATAATCCTGGGAATACTTATTTGTTTTTGATTGGCTCCTGGCATTTAAAATTTTTCATTTCTTTTGCATAAACCTGGGAGAACACATGTGACTACACTTTAATCTGCATGTCTTATAAAGAGAAAAGCAGAGTCACCAAATTAGTGCAATGATCTGAATTTTTTTTACCTTTTTTTCTTCAAGTTCAGGGATAGATGTGCAGGATGTGCAGATTTGTTACATAGGTAAACGTGTGCCATGGTGGTTTGCTGCATGTATCATCCCAACACCTAGGTATTAAGTCCAGCATCCATTAGCTATGCTTCCTGATGCTCTCCCTCCCCCACCATCCCTCTCTGGCAGGCCCCAATATGTGTTGTTCCCCTCCTGTGTCCATGTGTCCTCATCATTCAGCTCCCACTTATAAGTGAGAACATGTGGTGTTTCATTTTCTATTCCTGTGTTAGTTTGCTGAGGATAATGGCTTCCAATGCCATGTGTGTCCCTGCAAAGGGCATGATCTCATTCCTTTTTATGGCTTCGTAGTATTCCATGGTGTATATGTACATTTTCTTTATCCAGTCTATCACTGATGGGCATCTGGGTTGATTTCGTGTCTCTACTATTATGAATAGTGCTGCAATGAATGTACGTGTGCATGTATCTTTATAATAGAATGATTTATATTCCTTTGGGTGTATACCCAGTAATGGGATTGCTGGGTCAAATGGTATTTCTGCCTCTTGGTCTTTGAGGAATCACCACACTGTCTTCCACAATGGTTGGACTAATTTACCTTCCCACCAACAGTATATAAGCGTTCCTTTTTCTCTGCAGCCTTGCCAGGATCTGTTGTTTTTTGACTTTTTAGTAACAGTCATTCTGACTGGCATGAGTTGGTATCTCATTGTGGTTTTGATTTGCATTTCTCTAATGATCAGTGATGAAGCTTTTTTTCCTGTTAGTTGGCCATATGTATGTCTTCTTTTGAGAATTGTCTGCCCATGTCCTTTACCCACTTTTTAATGGTTTTTTTTTCTTGTAAATTTAAGTTCCTTGTAGACTCTGGATATTAGACATTTGTCAGTTGGATAGATTGCAAAAATTTTCTCCCATTCTGTAGGTTGTCTGTTCACTCTGATGATAGTTTCTTTTGCTGTGTAGAAGTTCTTTGGTTTAATTAGATCCATGTGTCAGTTTTTGCTTTTGTTGCAATGGCTTTTGGCATTTCGTCATGAAATCTTTGCCTGGGCCTATGTCCTGAGTGGTATTGCCTAGACTTTCTTCTAGGGATTTTATAGTTTTGGGTTTTACACTAAGTTTTTAATCCATCCTGAGTTAACTTTTGTATATGGTGTAAGGAAGGGGTCCAGTTTCAGTTTTCTGCATATGGCTAGCCAGTTATTCCAGCACCATTTATTAAATAGGGAATCATTTCCCCATTGCTTGTTTTTGTCAGGTTTGTCAAAGATGAGATGGCTGTAGATGTGTACTCTTATTTCTGAGTTCTGTATTCTGTTCTATTAGTTTATGTGTCTGTTTTTGTACCAGTACCATGCTGTTTTGGTTATTGTAGCCTGGTAGTATAGTTTGAAGTTGGGTAGCATGATGCCTCCAGCCTTGTTCTTTCTGCTTAGGATTGCCTTGGCTATTTGGGCTCATTTTTGGTTCCATATGAATTTTAAAATAGTTTTTTCTAGTTCTATGAAGAATATCAATGGTAGTCTCAGGTATATCCTTATAGCAGTGTGAGAATGGACTAATACACTTGTCTTGTGCCATTTTTCAAGAGGAATGCTTCCAGCTTTTGCCCATTCAGTATGATATTGGCTGTGGGTTTGTCATGTTATTTTGAGGTATGTTCCTTTAGTACCTAGTTTGTTGAGAGTTTTTAACATGAAGAGATGTTGAATTTTATCAAAGGCCTTTCCTGTATCTGTTGAAATAATTATGTGGTTTTTGTCTTCAGTTCTGTTTATGTGATGAATTGCATTTATTGATTTGCATATGTTGAACCAAACTTGCATCCCAGGAATGAAACTGACTTGATTATCATGGATAAGCTTTTTGATGTGTTGCTGGATTTGGTTTGCCGGTATTTTCTTGAGGATTTTTGCATCAATGTTCATCAAGGATTTTGGCCTGAAGGTTTCTTTTTTTGTTGTATCTCTGCCAGGTGTTGGTATCAGGATGATGTTGACCTCATAGAATGAGTTAGGGAGGCGTCCCTCCTTTTCAGTTTTTGGAATAGTTTCAGTAGAAATAGTACCAGCTCTTCTTTGTATATCTGGTAGAATTCAGCTGTGAATCTATATGGTACTGGGCTTTTTTTGGTTGCTAGGCTATTTATTACTGCCTCAATTTCAGAACTCATTATTGGTCTATTCAGGGATTCAATTTCTTCCTGGTTAAGTTTTGGGAGAGTATATGTATCTAGGAATTTATCCATTTATTCTAGATTTTCTAGTTTATATGCACAGAGGTGGTTTTTAGTATTCCCCGATGGTTGTTTGTATTTTTGTGGGGTCAGTGGTGATATCCCCCTTATCTGATTGTGTTTATTTGCTTTTACTCTCTTTTATCTTCTTTTTTATGCTAGCTAGTGGTCTATATGGTCTGAATTTTTAAAATAATCCCTTTACTCTTGAAATTATTTTGGACACAAAACCACTGATTCTGGAGTGGAGTCCTTTTTTGTTATTTAATTCCTCAAATGTTGTGATTTGTACGTTTGGTTCAATAGAAACAACTCTTCTGTGCCTCCTCTAGACATCTGTCTTCTTTAAGCAAATTAATTTAGTGATATAGAGTATACTCCTTTGTCAGGCCATGGGCATGTTCCTGTAAACCAGGAGTCTCTGTTAGGCTCATTTCTGAACAGTAATACCTATTTTGGGATGGAAACAGCATTTGATTAAAGAGAAATTCCAAGTTTTAAAAATCTGTAAAATGAGGATTAAAATATTTAGGTATAAGGGAGGAAAAGCAAGTGCCACAAGTTCTAAGCAGGGTCTTTTTTTTTATTATTATATTTTAAGTTTTAGGGTACATGTGCACAACGTGAAGGTTTGTTACATATGTATACATGCGCCATGTTGGTGTGCTGCACCCATTAACTCATAATTTACATTGGGTATATCTCCTAATGCTATCCCTCCCCTCTCCCCCGACCCCACAACAGGCCCTGGTGTGTGATGGTCCCCTTCCTGTGTCCAAGTGTTCTCATTGTTCAAATTCCACCTATGAGTGAGAACATGCGGTGTTTGGTTTTTTGTCCTTGTGATAGTTTGCTGAGAATGATGGTTTCCAGCTTCATCCATGTCCCTACAAAGGACATGAACTCATCATTTGTTATGGCTGCATAGTATTCCATGGTGTATATGTGCCACATTTTCTTAATCCAGTCTATCATTGTTGGACATTTGGATTGATTCCAAGTCTTTGCTATTGTGAATAGTGTCACAATAAACATACATGTGCATGTGTCTTTATAGCAGCATGATTTATAATCCTTTGGGTATATACCCAGTAATGGGATGGCTGGGTCAAATGGTATTTCTAGTTCTAGAGCCCTAAGCAGGGTCTTTTGTTACAATCCTCTTTCAAAAACTCCATCTTGTGGTTTTACTGCAGTGGCTGAGCCTTGTGTTTGTTGCTACAGGGTGCTATTATTTAGCAGGAAAACTTTCTAAAGCAGAACCAGGAGAAAGATTGCACTCCTCCCACATTGTCCAACCAACAGAATCACCAAATCACCAAGCAGGAGTGAGGAGAGCAGAGGTCACCTGGTGGCCATCAAGCAGTCTATCCGAGGCAGAACTCCTTATCTGAGGAATTTAGAAGTATTTAGACTTCCCTGTTATCTAAAGCTGGCCTGTGGTTCCAGGCTTCTTTCCCCAAAATGTATAAGTAACTAGAGTTTTTGTATATCTCCAGAATGCATGCATGTCAAAACTCACTGTGCAACCTTTGCACAGAATGTCTATGAATATAATCATTTATTATGACCTATGAGGCTGATATGGTCTAAATTACCCTTAAGCTCTGCTTTAAGCTCCATAAATACCCCAAGAGAAAAATCCACCATGAACAGTCCTCTCTTGCCGAGTCACTCTGCTGTACTCTTCTACCGCATTCTTTCTTTCTAATAAAACTTACCTGGCTGGGCATCATGGCTCACGTCTGTAATCCCAGCATTTTGGAGGCTAAGGTGGGCAGATCACCTGAGGTCAGGAGTTTGAGACCAACCTGGCCAACATGGTGAAACCCTGTCTCGACTAAAAAACTACAAAAATTAGCCAGGCGAGGTGGTGGGTTCCTGTAATCCCAGCTACTCAGGAGGCTGAGGCAGGAGAATCGCTTGAACCCAGGGGTGGAGGTTGCAGTGAGCCGAGATCACACCACTGCACTCTAGCCTGGGTGACAGAGCGAGACTCTGTCTCAAAAACAAACAAAACAAAACAAACAGCAACAACAACAAAACCCTTTCCTTTTCAGACCTGTACTGTTGTTGGGAACTTCTTCTTACCAACCCATGAGTCGACTACTTTCCAATGCCTTGGCTCTGACACCTCACCCAGCACAGGGGACACACAAATACTTCTTTTTAAATTCACTGCCTCTAGAAACCTGAAAGGAGAAGACATTTTTAAAGGATGGTCACTTGTTCTATGCTTCTGTGACACTAGGAACCTTAAGGCACTGGGGCAGAGGGGCCCTGCCATTCCCATTCATATTATAAAGCTTCCCCCTTTGAAGTAGGTTACTGATGTTCTCTGTGTGCTTCCGGGAAATAGCTGCCTTGTCATCCTCAAAGCTACTGTGTCCTCATTTCTTGCTTTTATTGTACACGTGCTACCATTTTCACCTCAGAGCAACAGTGGCCACCAATGCTGTGTTCATTTCACTTCCCTTGTGCTCCTTCATAAAGAAGCTATGAATAATTTAACCAAATTATTTACCAACCACAAATAAAGATGGAGGTAGTATCAATAGTTGGAACACATAAATGGAAATACGCGGCACACGTTTCTTCTTGGGGCAAATGAAAAGGGGTAGTTGTAGCATGTCCCACCTCTGGGCTTCATGGCATGTTGGGACCGAGTTTCTGAGACCAATGCTGTGTGCTTCAGGAACTTCCTAGCATCCACCTGGCTCCTGTTTATACTGTACTTTCTGTTTTTCCTTGTTTATCTCATATCTTCAAAATATTTCACCCTGTAAAACTGCAAGGTTGCATTTTAGTTTATTGTACAAAGAACCTACTTCAGTTTTACTTCTTCTGGAATTTGCAGTTAGTCAGATCTGATACATTGTCTTACCTTTTCAATAAAAGCTTTTGATTTTAATTTATTAAGGAAAAAGTAGAATGTGATCAAAAAAACTCTCAGTTGCAGCTGAAAATCTGAGTGAGAGAGAGGCATATGCAAATGAAGTAAAGAAGGCTCTTAAACTTGTTTGCCTTCACCGAAGCAAGATAATGTCCTGGTTAATGTAGCATTAAATATATACATGCAGGAATGCCTTGTTTAGAGCTCTGGATTCCTGTATTTGTCATGGTGTCTGTAAGAGGTTCATATCCTCCGTGTCTCCCTGTGTGACTTAGTCACCTTACTTTACCTTTCTGGGCTTCAGTTTCCTCATCTGTGAAATGGGGACATAACTACCTCAGAGTTGCTGGGAGGATTAAGTGAGTTAATTCATGAAGCACTTCAGACAGTTCCTGGCATTCAGTAGCTGTCACCTGATATGGTTTTTATTGTTGTCATTACCTTCCTATAAGCTATGTCAGCATGTGTGAGAAATAAATGTTTAAGAAATAAATGTATCAGAACCTACACATCCAAGGGAGTTTTTCTTCCTCAGAATGTTCTGACTTGGAAAATAAGCTTTGATTTTGGTAGTGCTGCCCATGCCGGACATTTTGGGGATGGCTCTTGGAGGAATGCCTTCTGGGGCTGTAGCACTACGTTCTTCGTATGGCTCCTGTAGTGACCAATTTTCTGTCCCCTGAGTGAATGTGGCTTTGAATTTTTTCTTTTCTTTAAAAAATTTTTCTAAACATAGAAGACATTTGGAACCAAGTAAAAAAAAATCTTTTGGTTTAAAAACTTACCTAGAAAGTTTATTCACAAGAATGGTCATTGGGCCAAATTAAGCTGAGTTTTTAGTTTTAACAAGAAGATTATTAGTTTGGGTCTTTGGCTTTTGGGATTCGTAAGGAAGTTCCTGTCTACTTCCTGCAGAAGCAACTGCTCCCAATCTGATTATTTTGACCTCAAAACCCCATTATTCCTCCTGTCTCCTCTATAAGTGGAACATCAGCCACACTTTGTTTCAGGGTTCCCTTGGCCTGCAGGCCCCAGTTCCTACAGAAACTTCTTTTCCTGACAATCAGTATGATTTTTTTACCTCTACCACATATTTGTTTCTTAGCCTACGCTCTTGTTCTAATGATTACTAATTTTTTACAACTTGATATATGTAATGTTAACTATGTAATGTGTATATCTACTCACCTTGGCTTTTTGAAATAACTTGATTGAGGGCCAGCTCTTGGGCCTCCTGTGTGGATGTGTTAAAGTGCCCTGCCTTATGTCTCTGCTGTCCTCTTTCCTTTCCATAATTCCAAGTGATTAGAAAAGCAGCCACATATTTTATAGTCATTTGTAAGTCAAGTTGCCAGCCTTGCCACATACTCATTTTTTTTTCCAGCTGAGCATATTGTAATGGAAATTCTAAGTTTGCCTTGACATGTTCATTGCTCTGCACAAAGTCAACACTTGGTCTCCAAGACAGTTTGGGTGCTAACTTTATTTCCCTGTACTGTCTGGATTGTGGAAGATCAGATGTGGATGCCTAATGTCCCTTGTTAAAATTGTCCCAAGAGCTATCATATAGACACTGTGTGTGTTTGAAGGAAGCAGGTCCAAGTCTAAACAGTGATGGCATCCTGTTGGTCTGAGAAGCAGGTAACTTGTGTTTTAAAAACAAAACAAACTGAGAAGACTTCCTTTTTCTTTCTTTTTTTTTTTTTTTTGCACTTGGCATTACATTACAATAACCAAAAAAACCCTGCAGGAATGGTTGCTGAAAAACAAATGAAAAAATTAAACAATAATTGAGACTTTTTGAATAATATTTAATATATATCATTGTTATATATAATATAATATATATAATATTTATAGGTTATATATATCTCTCTCCCCTCTCTCTATAAGTGCATTTCTGTATATGTGTGTGTGTGCATGTGTGTGTGTGTATACCTTCTCTGTTTTCTCTGTTTTCCTATACACTTTTCTTTATGGTAGTTTGCTTTTTGCTTTTTAACCATTTTATTTGGACTTATGTTATTCATAAATTCTCTCTTAACCACTTTTTTTTAAGAGCAAATATACATATTTTCTGCTCTAAGCCCAGGTTGGTGACATCATAGAAATTTTAGTGTTTCTTCTTTGTCTCAATCTTTCAAGTATCTCATAATCTGTTCTTAAACAAATGTCTAAGAATAATATGAGTGGCAACACTTCAAAACAGTGATTTTTTTTAAATCACTGTAAACACATATGTGTGTAAGATCTTTTTTGAATTTTTAAAAATAATCTTAAGGAGAATAATAAACATGCTTCCGGCCATTTTTTGAGACATAGAACCTGGAAAATTTTGTTTCCATGTATTTTATGCCGTAGAAGTCTTTGAAGAACGAAAAGTGGGAGTCACAGAGTGTGACTGTGTTCAGTTTCTTTTCCCCCATGAGAAGGTCTAATTTGGTTGCTGTAGCTTCAAAGCTGTGTGTCATGAGAATCTGATGCTAGTGGTGGTGGCTTTGGTGGAGGATTTTAAGAAAAGATAATGGTTCCTGCCACGGTGATTTTAGGCAAAAGAGTGGGACATGCAGCCTCTTCCCCTTCTAGACACCAGCATACTCATCTATTCCATTAAAACTTGTTGGCAGGAAAAAAATCAAACATGCTCCTCGAAGTGGAAGTAACTGGCAGAGGTTTTAGTGCCTTCTTCCTAGGAGGTTGTATTTTAACAGAAAAGAAAACTTTGGCTCCAGGAATAAAAATCCTTTTTTTAAAAGTGCATGAACCCTGCAATTTGGTGCTAATTGTAACTTCTGGAGGCTCCACCCTGGTTCTCTTGATTAAACTCAAAACAACCCCTTTTCCTTCCCAAACATCTCCCAGAGTGGGTGGCTCAGCCAGGGGCCAGCATTTTTATTCCATTTTCGAGGATCTTGGCCCCATCCCTGGTCTTGTCTCCAAGTGGGGCAGCTTAACAACCACTCTCTGTGGGCTTTGAGTATGGCAAGATGACCTGGCAAGCTGAGCTAGGTGTTTGCCATTCACACAGGAAGGGGGCCTTCAGGGAAGAGCTCGAGTCATCATGAAGACAGAGCCTGGATGGTAAAATTAATGCCCCTCATACAGATGTTGAGTCACATGATGTATTAGATAGTCAATGAAAGATGAAATTATGTTGGTATACCATACAAGGCAGTAATGTACAGTACTCCTTAAGAAACATTTTCAATAGGAGTTTTATGGTTGCTTGAATTAAGTTGCTTTGAGAGGTAAAAAGTTGCAGTAAGTGCTATAATTTAGAAAACCAGAGACTTACATGGTAACATCTCTACTGGATTAAGTCTTCATGAGTATAACAGCATAAGTATTATAAAACTTAACTAGAATCGGAAAATAGAAGATAAAGAATTAGTGTTTTGTTTGGATCTTACCTTTTTCTGTGCCTGAAACCCCCACATTTTCAAAAGTCCTTTCCCAAGGTCTCCAACGCTGGTTGGTCCTGTTGCCTTGTGGAGTTTCTAATTGAATGTATCTGAAGCACTTCAATCAGAGCTGAATCTTGGTCTTCCATGCTGTCATCCCCTGTATTCTTTCCCAAACCAAGTTTCTGTTGATTCTGCCTCCAAAAAGTATCTCAAATCCACCCTCCTGGTCCAGTCACCTGGGTGACTGCAGTTGCTATTCATACTCACTGTGACTCTTTTCCACCCTCTTTATGAAATGGAAATCTGGTAATTCACCTCCTTCCCCTAAAAGCCAAAACAAAAAACAAACAAACCTGCAGGACTCAACTTTTCCATGACTTCCCATGATCTTAAGTTGAAATCATAATTTCATAACCTTAGTGACTCGCATGACCTGGCAGTTGCCCACTAATCCCCAGCCCTCCGTGTTCCCCCTCTTCAATCCAGTCATGGTGGCTTAGTTTTGGTTTCTCTGAGATAGCATTCACTTCCACTTTCCTCTCTCTTTTTTCAAATTGTTGACTTTAATTATTTCTTTAGTTCCCCCTTAAATCTCATTTTGTCAGAGAAAGCCTTAGGTTAGAAACCACCTTATTGCATGACATTGACCCCCTTGATAGCAGTCTGTTGGTATATGTCTAGTGGCTGGCATATAGTGGATGCTTATTCATATTTGTTGAGTGAAAGAATGAGAGTAGTGGTAATTGTGAGTATTTTAAGTGCTGCTAAATACTCTGAGAGTTGGCATATCTAGCATGAGGTGTGGCACAGATGCCACCATTTTTTTTTACCTGCCAGACGAGCCAGTCTATTTATTACTAATTTATCACCACATCCTTCCCCTGGGCTGGCTTTCTTAGTACTCTACTGGTCTGTGTGAATTGGCATGTGGCATGAAACCTATTTGACATTTCTAATCTAGCAGAAAATGTCATCACCTTCTGGATGTTTAGGTCCTTGTATTGACCTTTAAACATGTTGCATAAACTTTTCATGCCTTAATTTTCATGCCAGTCTAATACAGGTCATCAGATTGTAAGATAAGATAATTCTTTCATGAAGATTAAGTAAGAAATACTGAAAAATTAGTAGAGCATATTCAAATATAAGGTTGTATAATTACATTCAGTATGCTTTGACATAAATAATCATTTTCTGTTTAGCCACTCTCTTATGCAGACTAAAATGTAAATTTTATATACACATAAATTAAACTTTCAGTTGCATAGGCTTATCATGTCTATATATGAGCCTTACAGCAGGGACTCTAATTTTCTTTCATAATTAAGTTGATTTCTTGTTTCCATTGGACTTTTACTTAATGTTTATTTTGCTAGTGAAAGATCCATTTCAAGGAGATAGAATATAAAACATCAAGAAGAAGATGCTCATTTTAAATTCAGTTTACTATCATTCTGTGGCAGTGTTTCACAAAGCATACCCATGGATCACCTGTATCAGAAACATGTGGGGATGGTTAATTTGCAGGTTCATGCCCCCACAACTTACTGAATCAGAATTTGAGAGGCCCAGAAAACTGCATTTTAAAGTGATCACTTTGTACTTTAAATAAGCTCCATAAGTTTGAGAATCAGGTCCCATATAATACTTAGTGTATACTGTGTCATTAATAAATTTCGAACAGGATCCATAAAAGATGGCTCATTCACCGACCTTTTCAGTCTCACCTGAGCATATAGATGTTATCAGAAAACATATCAATGCCAACACTATACAATAAAAGGTGATGATATTGATTGTGACTAAGGTTGAAAACAGTCTATGACCTTATTCAACTGGAGCACAGAGGATCAACAAGGGGCATTGTTCCTAGATGGCTAAAACACACTGGCCTTCCGGGAACAATGGCCCTTTGACCACAGCTGACACAGGCGGGAAGGAACTAGACAGGGGTCAGATCTCCTCAGTCCAGCAGTGAATGGGTGGGGCCTATGGTTGAGTCCTCTGGAGAAGCCCGGCAGGGGAAGGCCAGCAGTGCCCTTCATGCTCACCAGGGCTGTCACTGTTCTGCCCTCCCTGGATGCCCACATGGCAAGAACGCTTGCCCTGAGCAGGAGGACAGGAACAATACCTGTGTTTTAAAAGTTGGCATTGCCAAGTGTGTAGGATGTGCTGCTCACCGAGTTCGGTGGTTTCCTTGTATTAGTTCATGTAATCAGCTTAAGTAGGGGAAATCCAGGGTGTTGATGAGAAGGCATTTCATGGCAGACTTTAACCCTGGACTGGATTCTGGGGAAGGTTACAAGTCTCCATCTCCTGTTCTTATCAAAACTTGCTCTACTCTTTTGGATCGCCTT
The DNA here is from genome assembly GCF_000001405.40 of Homo sapiens. Classification (NCBI taxonomy): domain Eukaryota; kingdom Metazoa; phylum Chordata; class Mammalia; order Primates; family Hominidae; genus Homo; species Homo sapiens. Next base: position 50,538,805 of record NC_000010.11, on the reverse strand, counting down.
TGACCACTTAATGATACTTACAGCTTTTATCTCACAGTTCCACCTCCAGATCAGTATTGTTTTCTGTCATTTCCTGAATGTGAATTCCATCCCACTAAGTAGACACAGAAGTTGTCAGTGGGGAATGGTGTCATCCCTCTCCTCTGGTGTTTTGAAATGTGTGGGAACATTTTCAGTGGTCATGATGATGAGGGGTGTGTATATCAGGATTTAATGTCCTGAGGGTGTGGGATGCTAAATACCTTTCAGTAGTTGGGAGTGGGAGGGTCCCACTTAATGAAGGATTGTCCTGTCCAGAATGCTGAAGGCACCCCTGATAAGCTATCTCTTTTTTTTTTTTTTTTTTTTGAGATGGAGTCTCACTCAGTAGCCCAGGCTGTAGTACAGTGGCATGATCTTGGCTCACTGCAAGCTCCGCCTCCCGGGTTCATGCCATTGTCCTGCCTCAGCCTCCTGAGTAGCTGGGACTACAGGCACCCACCACCACGCCCGGCTAATTTTTTTGTATTTTTAGTAGAGACGGGGTTTCACCATGTTAGCCATGATGGTCTCGATCTCCTGAGCTCATGATCTGCCTGCCTCGGCCTCCCAAAGTGCTGGGATTACAGGTGTGAGCCCACCCACCCACCCCTGATAAGCTCTTTGGTTTTATCTGCATCTTATCCAGCACCTTATTATTATTTGTTTAATCTCTGTATTTCCAGAGCAGGATCTCACTCTGTTGCCCAGGCTGGAGTGCCGTGGCATAATCATAGCTCACTGTAACTTTGAATAGCTGGGCTCAAGCAAGCCTCCTGCCCCAGCCTCCTGAGTAGCAGTGCCTTCTTGAGAACTGACCAAACATTTAATATGTAATGGGATTCATATGGCTTAATAGATGCAGTTTGAGCTTAGTTACTTGTAGGGTAAATAAGCAAATGGTTGAAGCCATCTTCTTGGATGGCTTTTGTGCTCTCACAGTGAAGGTGTCACTCTTCTTGAATTCTGCTTTGTAACCTCATTCTTCCTGACGGTACAATGTAGACAAGCTCTATGACCTAGGGAATAATCCTAAGCAGCTACTGTTCCACTCAGGCAACATTCCTATTTCAAAAACTACCAGCATGTAGTCCCACTGAAACCTTGGTTTCACAAAAAGAAACAGGATGGGGAACATCACACACCGGGGCCTGTTGTGGAATGGGGGCGGGCAGGGGGTGGCGGGGAGGGATAGCATTAAGAGATATACCTAATGTAAATGACGAGTTAATGGGTGCAGCACACCAACATGGCACATGTATACATATGTAACAAACCTGCACGTTGTGCACATGTACCCTAGAACTTAAAGTATAATAAAATATATATATATCTATATATATATATAAAGAAAAAAAAGAAAAGAAACAGGATGATGCTAAGTAAATTAAGTGTTAGCATCATGAAATGGGGTAGAGGGCTGAGTACCCCAACATTTTATCTCTGACACCATCCCAGGTGAGTAGTCTTAGCAGTAGGAGGGTTTGAGATTTGGAGGTACAGGCTCCATACTCCAAACTTTCTGGAGAAAAGGTTACTTTGTCCGTTGATCAGAAAGCTACTGTGTGGAAAAAACAAAGGTTTGAACTAAGGATCAAACAAGATCAGTAGAGGGTCCTGGGATATGCATTGATATGTATCAGTCATTCAGTTAGACATGTTAGAGATGCAGACTGGGAAAATTCAGCCAAAGGAGCTTGAGAGAAATGCAAATGCTAAGATGACTCAGTGGGCTGTTTTCCCTGGAAGGCCTGGGGACCAAACAAGAAGCAATGTGTCAACCCTTTGTCTCTCTGTTACTCTACTTCTAAGAGTAACTTCTAAGGAAATGATTAGTGATGTATTCAGAGATTTCACTCTGAGGATGCCTAAATGCTGAACATTGGAAGCAACCCAGATGATGTCCAAAAGGGGATTGAATAAATATAATTCACCTATATGATAGACTATTGCATAATCTTGACAATGATTATAGCATGTTTTTAATGATGACAATGATTATAGCATGTTTTTCATATTTTTCATGTATGAAGAAAAGTATGACATGGGACAAAATGTATGAAAAACATGCTATAATAAACAGATTAAGATTTCAATAAGGAAACTTTGTAAACATGGAGGAGAGACCTGGAAGGGCATTAATCAAAATATTCACTTGGATTATCTTTGAGAAGTGAAATTCTAGGTAGTTTTTCCTCTTAGAGCTTTAGTGCTGTACATAAAATGTTTTCTGTGAGCATGTAGAATTATTTTTGTAATTAAGCAGTTTAATACAGCAATAAAAACATGATTATTAACAGGTGCCTTGTTGACCCTTTACTCCAAATATTCCTGGTAGTTCTAATCATTTAAAATCTCAATAATTATATATTCTATCATTTTAAATCTAAATATTTCTGATAGGTTTATTCCTCAAAAGGAAATGGGTTTTTTTTGTTTGTTTGTTTGTTTCTTTGTTCATTTTTTTGAGACAGGGTCTTGACTGTTTATGCAGTGGCACAATCACAGCTCACTGCAGCCTTGATCTCCTGGGTTCAAGGGATCCTCCCACCTCATTCTCCTGAGTAGCTGAGACTATACGCGTGCACCACCATTTTTGACTAATTTTTGATTTTTGGTAGAGATGGGGTCTTGGTGTGTTGCCCAGGCTGGTCTCAAACTCCTGGGCTCAAGAGATCTTTCGACTTCAGCCTCCCAAAGTGTTAGGATTACAGGCATGAGCACTGTGCCCAGCTGGAAATGAGGATTTTGATTACAAGGAGTGGATATGTGTGGGGGAAGAACTGAAGGATGTGAAGCAAGAAGGGATATCAATATAGTAAAGAAGAAGAATGTATAAAAATGAAATCTAATACAGTAATACTAACTACATTTGTCTAGTTTGAAGCTCTGCCTAGGAAATTCCCACTGAGACGTAATACATTCATGTCTGAGTGGGGTTGGGTAGCAGCCATAAAGGCCAAGCTTGGCCCCTCTCCCCCAAAAGTGGCTGAATCAGAGGTGTGAGAGCATCTCAGACTCTAGAGCTGATGTTCAGAAGAGTCAAGTTTCCATCTTAACACCTAGATCCTGTGGTCATAGAGTGGTATCTGTGAATCAGCCCATTAAGAATTTAAGCTTGGCCTGGCGTGGTGGCTCATGCCTGTAATCCCAGCACTTTGGGAGGCCGAGGCGGGTGGATCACGAAGTCAAGAGATCGAGACCATCCTAGCCAACATGGTGAAACCCCATCTCTACTCAAAATACAAAAATTAGCTAGGTGTGGTGGTGCACCTGTACCTGTAATCCCAGCTACTTGAGAAGCTGAGGCAGGAGAATCGCTTGAACCCGGGAGGCGGAGGTTGCAGTGAGCTGAGATTGCACCACTGCACTCCAGCCTGGTGACAGAGTGAGACTCCATCTCAAAGAAAAAAAAAATAAGCTTGCTTTAAGGAAATACTTGCAGCAGCATTTCTCAGAATAAATTCTGTGCATAGGCATGCTTCATATGAACAGCTAGGGTACAATTAAAAAGACTAGACACTTTTTAAGATGATAGTTGTTGTTGTTGTTGTTTTGAGATGGACTCTCACTTTCTCACCATGCTGGAGTGCAGTGGTGTGATCTTGGCTCACTGCAACCTCTCCCTCCCAGGTTCAAGTGATTCTCCTCCCTCAGGCTCCCGAGTAGCTGGGACTACAGGCACCTGCCACCATGCCGGGCTAATTTTTGTATTTTTAGTAGAGACGGTTTCACCATGTTGGCCAGGCTGGTCTTGAACTCCTGACCTCAGGTGATTCAACCGCCTCGGCCTCCCAGAGTGCTGGGATTACAGGCATGAGTCACCACATCTGGCCAATAGCTATTGTTTTTAATGGAAAAGTTATTCACTTAGCAATGTCTGCATGTCTGATGCCATAAGCTGGAAACTGTTTGAGTTGCTGTGGATACAAAACTAAACAAGAAAGGTGTGAGAACACAGCTATCATTTTGTTAACCTATTTGGTGTATTTTGCCTATTCTTTTTCTATGTGTATATATTTTATATTTTTAAGACTATTTTTGCATCCTGCTGTCCTCATTTAATATCTGAAGCATTTCTGCATGAATATAATTTTTAATGGCTGCATACTATTCAACTATGTGAATATCTCAGTTTTGTAAATCGCTTCCCTGTTGTTGAACGATTGGGTAATTTTGCATCTTAGTAGTGAAAACAGTAATACAAATTTTATCCTCATTTCTAATTATTTCCTTAAGATAGATTCAAACTGGAACTGTGTCAAACAGCATGGGCATATTTAAGGCTCCTGATGGATAATGGTTCCCTGTGTAGGGAAGCATTCATCTCATTTTACTATCAGTAGCATTGAATATTTTAAAGTGCCAATTTAATACAAAATATTGCGTTGGTTCAATTTACATTCCTTTGAATAATAGGTGACATTGAGCCAATGTCCACAATGTCTATTTGTTACATTATTTTTAATGTGCCCAGTACTATATTTTAACTTCTTTTTAGTTATGCAAATGATAGATGAATACATCTCAAAAATTTTAACACTATACAGAGCCCTCTTTGACTGTCTCCTCTCTCTTTCCCTTTCCATCCCTATAAGTACCCACTTTTATCAGTTGAATGTATCTTTGTAGACCTTTTGCTATACTTAAATGTGTGTGTGCAGATAGGTAAATACATAGATGCATAGTTTATTGGGCTTTAAAAACTTACATTCTATATATTTTGGGGATAAATTTATGGTTTTTAACTTTCCTTATTTTTTCTCCTTGAGATATGGTCTTACTGTGTAGACAAGGCTAGACTTGAACTCCTGGGCTCAAGTGATCCTTCTGCCTTAGCCTCCCAAGTAGCTGGGACTATAGGGATGTGCCACCATACCCAACTTCCTTTTTTGGTTTTAACCGGAGCAGAGGATGTCATATTATATGTAACATGGTTCATTTAACCATGTGTTCATTAGCCATTTCTGTTTTTCTTATGTAATTTACATATGCATGTATATAAACTTTATATATTTTTATCTGTTTTTTCCTATTTAAGGCTTAGTGTTTTCCTTATAGATTTATATATGTTCTCTTTCATAATAATAAATTATTATTTATTATTTCCTGAACATAATTAAGAAAAATGTGTGTGTTCACTTACAAATAACCTTTAAAAGGTTCTGAAGAGATAAAGCAAAACATCGTATGTAAACAATTGATGATTCAAATAATGTTAGAGAAAGAAGGTCTGAAACTTCCTATTTCTTATTTTCAAGTTCCTATGTTAAAGCTGATCTGATTACCAAACATTTGTTCACTGATCTTTCAGAGTTTCAAGCTGTATTTCTCAACTTACCAATATTCATGAGTGCTTTTGATTCACTGTGCTGAAAACCAGAACAAAGGAAGGACTGTTATATTAAAGTCAAAAAAGAAAAATTCATCTTAACAGTATTTTGAATTAAGGGGAAAAAAACCCTTTAATCCTGACCTTTGCCAGTTCCATCACAATTAAAACAAAAAAAGTAAACCTAAAATAAAAGAATTTCTTGGGGAAAAAGCTCTCTCTACTTATTTTTCATCATCTTTGTCAAAGATTTCGGTGAGATTGCAATACTTGTATAATAGTGTTTCTGTTTTTAGAAAAGTTATATGGAAACATTAGTCCACTCAAAATAGAAGAGTATTTAAAAATATTCTATGTTTACTCTACATTAGCTCAGCATTTTTTTTCATGAAGATCAATATCTCATCCTTTGGATTTATGCGGTACCTGTCTCATTTATTTGTGAGTTTGTTGTGTATGCCCCACCAGACTCAGAGCTCTTAGAATTCATGCCTTACTATTACTGTTCCTGGCACCTAACTCAGCACTTGGTACCGAGTAACTGCACTTGGTGGATTGCTTACGTGAATTGAAGTAATCACACATTCAAAGAAATCAGCTATCAGTCTATTCTGCAGTCACAGAAAGTCTGGGAAATCCAAACCTGATCCATGTAGCAATAAAAAAAGATGGACCACTTTAGCCTACGGCTAAAGACCTAAAAACTACCTTCCAAATCATGAATTTTGCGGAGGATTGTATAGGCAACTCATAAACCAAAGTCTTTTAGCAATTTTAGGGCTTTAAGAAAAATAATTTGACTTGATGCAAGGTTAACAACAGTAAGTCCTCACTTAATGTCATCGATAGGTTCTTGGAAACTGTCATTCTTAAGAGAAACAACATGTTAAGAAACCAGTTTTCTCATGGGCTAATTGATATAAACAAGAGTTAAGTTCCTATGGCATATTTCTGATGACAAAAACACCACCAAACTTCTAAATAAGGACCAAAACACTTCTAATATTAAAAATTGAGATGGATATGAGCTATACTTATACTTAAGAAAAATTGATGCAAACAAGTAAGATAATTATTTATCCAGTTATTCTAGTTCAGGGTCTTGGATGAGAGAGCTTATCCTAGCATCTCAGGGCATAAGGTGGGAACCCATTGTGGACAGGACACCATCCCATCACAGGACACACACACACACACACACACACACACACACACACACACACACACACAGTCTCATTCAGACTGGGACCGTGGAGACATGCCAAGGAACCTAAGGGACATATCTCTGGGAACTGAATAAGAAACCAGAGTACCTGAGAAAACCCATGCAGACATGGGAAGAACTTGCGGACTCCACACGGATGGTGACCCTGACCAGGAACCAATTTTTCTTCTCATCAGTGTTATAACAAAACAAAGTTGAATTAAACAGTGTTATTCAAGGGCCTTCTGTGTGCATATGAATGTAAATAATTCAGTCCCAAGCCAGAATTTGGTCTCAGAATCTGGGTTGCAATCCTGGCTTGACCACTTGCATGCTGGTTACTGACCATTCTCTCTGAACTTTATCTGTAAGTCTCTTTATCTGTAAGATGAGATTAGTGCCTACCTTATCATGCTATTGCTTGGATTAAAGCTATCTGGCATATCCCAAATTTTTAGTAGGTGGAGATGGTGGTACTGGTATATGTAGTATACCTTCCAAGCACACATTCAGGCAGTGGGCAGGTAGGGAAGGTGGGCAACTTGCCGCAGCAGAGAGGAGGAAGAAGTTCAGACCGTTGGGTAGGATAAGTGGATCCAACCCCTTTGTAGGGCAGGTGGTGGAGTGGGCAGATAAAGAGCCAAGCCCTAGTTTGAGTGACACTGTGGGGATTCAAGAAGACTTTTGTCACGTGTGTAGTGCAGTGACTAGCTCTTACCTCTGGTTCAGTACTAACCATGCTAACAGACCTGCAGAGTACCAGCTTGTGGGTGATTATGTACCAAACACGTGTATCACGTTTATTGAACAGTATGCTCTAAGTCACTTTGAAATGAATAGGATGAATAAAGGTAAGGGAATTTATAAAAAAAAAAATAAGTAAACATGTATGGCACTTCCTCGAACAGATAGAATAGCTTTTTACTATTAAGGAAAGTAAAAGTTGAGCAGAGAGTAAGGTACTAACAGGTAGTCTACACATGTATGTTCCATTTAAAATATGAAACCCATGAGCACACATGGGTGATAGCAAGATTTTCACTGATAACAAGCTTCAGATCAATCAGGTGGTGGCACTGAGGTATAAATGGTGCCTGCCCTAGCTAAGTGAGGTGACGACTTTCTGAATAGTGAAGTAGTTGTTGAATTTTCAGAAAATCTTTTATTTCTGTTTTTTTTTCTGGGATTGTCCTGTATAAAAGACCACATCCAAATGGTTTTCCTAGAAGGTCCTGTGTTAGGGACCATCCTGTTTGTGAAACCTCCCTGCTCAATATGTTTTCAGTCATCTTATCTAGTACTTTTTAACTTGAAATAAGAAAAAGGTGTTTATTTCTACATTTTCAGTGCCTCCCCTTCAGGTATCCTTTTCCCTAAGGCACACTTTAGTATTATCCTCATAGATTTTTAGTGAAAATAGAAGAAACCACACTGCATTTGCATGTATTATATAAACTATTGTTAAAAAAGAGGACGCAGTGGTTCATGCCTGCAATCCCAGTGCTTCGAGAGGCCGAGGCGGGAGCATTGCTTGAGGCCAGGAGTTTGAGACCAGCTTGGGTAACACAGCAAGACCCTGTCAGCACAGAAAAAAAAAAAATTAGCCAGATGTGGTGGCACATACGTGTAGTCTTAGCTACTTGGGAGGCTGAGGCGGGAGGATCGCTTGGAGCCCAGGAATTCAAGTCTACAGTGAGCTATAATTGCGCTAACTGCACTCAAGCCTGGGCGACACAGTGAGACCCTGTCTCTAAAAAAAGAAGATTCTGCTTCTCAGTACTTCGGTGGAAAGCCCTTTTATATGTTTTCCCTTGATTAGAATTATGTGGCTTGCCCATTTCCCTTTCTGTCCCATTAGAAATTTAGAAATAATTTTAATGTTCAGTCACACTGACAGCATTATCAAGTTAATTTTTAATCATGTAATGAAATGAGCTGCTAATGATGGTGTTAGAAAATTTTAGAAAAATATCCATTTGGCTGTGTCTTTAAGATTTTTGGACAGAAAAGCACATACAGTTTAATTGACTATAAGAAGGCCAGGAATTTTGGAGGAAACACTAGGGCCAAAAAAATTCTGATGAAGCTCATCTAAAATAATTAAGTTATGTGTTAACAGGGTGGCTGATCATTAGTTTGTGGAAACTTCTTATTTTAGGCAATGTGCAGGTTTTCAGGAGATGGGATGATGATTGAGAAAGACGGTGGCTATTTAGGAGTATTTAGTATACAGAGGGCCTGTGCTGCTTTTTCACTTTAAAGGAAATAGTGAAGATTGGACGAGGAAATTGCAAAGAATATTGGAGGAAAGAAAACTCCTCTTTTATGGTGTGGGATTTTTTATGTAAGCAGTGTTAGTCATCCCTCCTCTGGGTCCTCCAGTACATGGTTCTCCTTTGCCAAAAGCACCAATTGTATGGTACGGTATAGTAATTAATTGTTTAGAGTCTGTCCCTCCATTCAACCATTGTTGGCCCAGCCTTGTTCTTCTTTATTTCTGCTGTGTCAAGCACAATGCTACGATAAATTTTTGCATATATGATTCATATTTCTGAAATAGTCGATTAGATGGCATTTTTAGACCTGTAAGTATTTAATAATATTGGCAAATATTTTGAATAGTCAAAGGGAATAGGGAGGCATTTTTCACCCCCAAAGTGTAAGATGTACTCATTCAAAAAAAGTTCAGAAAATCGAACCTCCTGTAATTCCACGTTTTCTGACTATTAAGTTTCAAAGAGCAGTTTAATAATAAGTAATCCTCCTCGGGCAGCCCCTCACACCTTTTTCCTCTACATTTTGTAGTATGGCTGAGTGTGAACATCCATCCATGTTTATTGAAGGCCTAAGTTTACCTAGCATTGTATTGTGGTAAGGATACAGTGGTCTCCAAAATATGGACTTTGCCGTTTCAGGGATGGCAATTACAGTCTGGAAGTATTAGAGGCAGAGTTGAGTCTTAGAATTTACATAGTGAACTTTCTTGCTGCCTTCTTTTTTCTTAAGGACAGGTGACACATAGAAAACCATAAACAAAAATGTTTACAAGTAATTGATTCGAATATTGGTGGTAAGCATGTTCTGCTATTAACAAAATCAGAAATGGATCTTTGGCTTTATCTTTTCCTGCTGTATCCACACCTACCTGAAACACATACACATACCCTGTCTAATGCCATTGATGTTCCTTTGTTTTCCCCATGTTCCAGCTGTAGGAACCAATGTATTGCTGTGGAAATATAGTCACTTTTGAATAGCTATAGCAATTTGTAAATTGCCCATCTCTGACAGTGTTTCCAAGGGACATTCTGACTGAACTGGATGATGGAATGAGATTTCTAGTAGTATGTCACTTTGACCAGTGGCATATCACAACCTCCCAGTCAGTGATTTAGGCTTCTTCTTCTCTTTTTGGAAGAAGGGTCTTGCTCTGTTGCAATCATGGCTCATTGCAGCCTCAGCCTCCTGGGCTCAAGCTATTCTCTCACCTCAGCCTGACTAGGTTTTATTTTTTTGTAGAAACAGAGGTCTCCCTATTTTGCCCAGGCTGTTCTAGGGCTCCTGGACTCAAGCGATCCTTTCACCTTGGCTTCCCAAAGTGCTGGGATTACAGGTGTGAGCTACCACCCAGCCTAGGCTTCTTTAAAGCACAATATGTGCAGTGGGGATTTAGACATTGATAATATTGGAATGTTTCTTGATGAAATTCTGATTGGTGCCAAGGAAATGCTTTGTGGAATGGCTATGTTTCTGACTGCCTCACTGGTAAGTCTTTTGGTTTTAAGAATAGTCCCTGCTGTGTATTGATAGTGTGACCTGGAGTCAATCATTTAACCTCTGAGAGGCTCAGAATCCTCATATGTAAAATCAGTACCATTTGACAAACCCCCGAGTGGTTTTTGAAGATTGAGTAAAATCTGTGTTGTACCTGTTACAGGACTGAGGACAGAGTCGTCCCTCAATACACAGCTGCTCTTACCTCATAAGATGAAAGAATTTTTTATTCTCTAGCATTTTGAAACACAGATTTATCATACTTTTTGGGCTCTAATAATTCATACTTATTGATATCATAAATGAATCCACAATGTATTTCAAATCCTGTAAGTTGCATACTTTTTGGTTTATAGACTGATATTGTGTACTTGGTACTCTTAAATATTACTTAGGAATGAATCTTGAAGCAAAATAGCAGCAACAATTTATTTATTTAGTATTTTTATTATTTTATTTATTTAGTACTTAGAGCCATGTCCTACAACTAAACTCTTTCATAAATTTTCTCATTTAATCCTTAATATGAGGATATTGAAGAGAGAGGTCAAGTAATTTATTTGTTGAAGACCACAGAGCTGCCGTTGGAGGACCTGCCAATCAAATCCAGGCATGTCTGACTTCTAAGCCCATATTCTTAGCCCTCTTCTTTCCCTGCAGCATGTGTTAAATAACTGAGAAGATGGCTCTTCAAGGTGACAGACACAAGTGTTTTTTGGATGACTTTCAGTCTGGGTTGCTACGGAGTGCTTAAACACATCATTTTGTAGTTAAAGGCCTTTTCTTCTTCCTGTTATGTGTCAAGATAGCACAAGTAACCCACAAACGCCACACTTTATTTATGTTCCTACTGGGCCCTTATCATAGTCTGTTCTCACTCTAGTTCTTAGCGGACACGTCTAGGGAGAGGCAGCGTATCAAGTGGCTAGGTGCCTAAGACTCTGAAACTAGATAGCCAGGAGCTGAATCTCAGCTCTGCCAATTACAGGCTGTGCAACCGAGAGCAAGTTATATTTTCTCTCTGTGCCTCAGTTTCTCATCTGTAAATTAGGGATAATAAGTAATACTTTAAAGGGTTGTCTTGAGGTTTAAAAGAGTAAATATATATGTTTACAAGTGTGTGCATGAACACATACACACATGTTGCTTGCAGCACTGCCTGGCATATGGGGAATATTCCACAAGTGTTGGTGATTAACAATAAGGTGATGATGTCCTTTGAGCAATGCTATGGGCTGCACCATTTTCATTTTGACTTTCCCCACAGAGGCCTACCCCACTGCTCCATGCTTGATGGGCACACCGTCAATGTCTACTTACGGAGTGGATGGCTGTGGATGAGCTGCATGGTTGAATACATGGCCAGTTCTTTTTCTTTTCTTTCTTTCTTTTTTTTTTTTTTTTTTTTTTTTTTGAGACAGAGTCTCACTCTGTCACCCAGCTGGAGTGCAGTGGCGATATCTCGGCTCACTGCAACCTCCACCTCACAGGTTCAAGCGATTCTCCTGCCTCAGCCTCCCAAGTAGCTGGGACTACAGGCACATGCCACCATGCCCAGCTAATTTTTGTATTTTTAGTAGAGACAGGGTTTCACCATGTTGGCCAGGATGGTCTCGATCTCTTGACCTCGTGATCCACCTGCCATGGCCTCCCAGAGTGCTATGATTACAGGCGTGAGCCACCGTGCCCGGCCAGCCAGTTCTTTTTCATCTTGAAGTTATATTACTCTCATTGACCTAAACACCCTCTCTTGCCTTTAACAGAATCAGGGATTGAATAACAGGAAGAAGTTGACCCAAGTAAAGTTAAAATTATTTGGCAGTAATAATAGCTAACATTTATGAAGTGCTTGCTACATGATAGGCACAGGGTAAATAAGATTAACTAAACTGAATCCTTTCTCAAACCTCATAAAGCAGTTATTATCCTATTTTGTAAGTGTAAGTTTAATTTGCATTGGTCTTATCCCTGTAGTCAAGAGGTTGTGCATTGAAACAGGGAGATTGTGTGTCTGTATGGTTTAGCTCTGTGTCCACACCCAAATCTCGTGTTGATTTGTAATCCCCATGTGTCAGGGGAGGGACCTGGTGGGAGATGATTGGATCATGGGGGCAGATATCCCCCATGCTGTTCTCATGATAGTGAGTTCTCATGACATCTGATGGTTTGAAAAGTGTGGCACTTCCCCCACCGACCACCCCCTCCTGCTGCCATTAGAAGAAGGTGCTTGCTTCCCTTTCGCCTTCTGCCGTGATTGTAAGTTTCCTGAGGCCTTCCAGTCATGCTTCCTGTTAAGCTTGTGGAACTGTGAGTCAGTTAAACCTCTTTTCTTCATAAATTACCTAGTCTCAGGTAGTTTTCTTAGCACTTTGAGAACAGACTAATACACACGTGAATCCCACAGCACTAGCAGAGCTGGGCTTCCCCTCAGGCCTCCCTGAGTGACTTTTGGCCTGTAGCGAAGCACTCAATAAATGGTTGTATTATTGATTATTATCGCAACTTCTGAGGCAAAAATCACATATTCTACAGGAATACCAATTTGAGAGTTCTACGTTTTAATAATTAACATAGCAACCTTTGTCATGGGTGTACAAACTATAGACTCCTTAGTTAAAATGTCTTGCTTTGGAGAAAGTCATTGTCTTAAAGCTGAAATTCTTATGCTTTAGGCTAAAGTTGTTTTCACTGCTCTGTCTTTGGTGGAAATGGAAAAATGCTATCCATTGCTCATAGCAGAGTAGTGCTTAAAATGATGGTAAGTGGTAGAGTCTCCCTTGTTTTCCCTAGACAAAACTTTCTCTGGGAATTTCGTACCTCAAATTATGTTTCAGTGATTTTTACTTTTCTACTTTTGATTCTTTTCTGTTTTTCAATTTTCCCAAGAAGTGTAGAGCCCAGCATTGATAACTTTGACTTTGCTTGATTTTTATTTTGAAGTGAGGTTAACATCTTCCAGTCAAGGTCCAAGAGACCAAGCATCTTGGTCTCTACCAGTGAAGAAGGGTAACCTGCTTGAGTGATGCCTGTACTGAAATATTGATCCTCTCTGCCTTGCTCTTCATGAGGCTGTCTGGGTGGCATTTGGAAGGAGCACATCATCAGCATTCCTGTTCATGCCTCCTTTACACCCACCTTCACAATCTAGAGCCAGAAACGGGCATATTGGATCTGCGGCACACAGGGCTTAGATGGGGTACAACAGAATTTTTCCTATTCACTAATCTTCACTCATTCAATTTGTGTAGGAGCCAACATGTAACTCCAATAGAGGATGCTATTTGTTACCCAGTATAAGAACTTCTTGAGGATGGAATTGATTTAATTATTCAAATATTCCAGATTCTTTCCTCTGAGAGCTCTTCTTAATCTTTGATTTAATGCTTTTTCTCTAATCCCTAGTAAGAAAATTCTTTCCTATTTCCACCGCTTCTTTTAAACATTATTTTGCTTGAGCCATGTGTATATTACTTGATTCTTAGAAATTGCTGATCACCCTGTCTTGGTAAAATATTTTGGTCTTTATTATGGGCATATCGTTGATGTTAGTTTATAGGTCTCTTTTTGCACCCTCTTCTGAAGGATTCTGATGAGTTACTCTCATCTTATTTTTACCCTTTCAGTGTTGTCATAGGGTCACCATTGACATTCTGGGCCTTTTGCCTGGAAGTACCTATTATGCTGTTAATTTTTCAACTAACTATGTTTCATGCTGTTTGTAATGAAAAGCCTATGAGCTCTGTGGCTCCAGCACTCCCCAGCTGCGTGACATTGGGACGCTGTGTAGTCTTTCTTCATGTTTGCTCATCTGTAAATGGGCTGATAATAATAAATATCACCTACTTTACAGACTTAGTAGTAGCACTAAATAAGATCATACATGTTAAGTGCCCATCCATGCTTAGCATATCAAAAGCACTCAGTGAAGTTTATTTATTATAAAGGTGAGCATAGGGCTGGGGCACTAACCCAGCTTTGAATGGTTAGCATGAAAAAATTTTCACAGTCAAGAGAAGAAAGGAGGAAAAGGGTATTTCATGAAGGGGAATAGCTACAAGTTTTTCACTAGTGATGGAGCATAAAGTGTTAGGAGACGAAATGGTAAGGGGGACTGGGAGCAGTTCATGGAGGTCTTGTTTTATCAAGCCCAGAGGCTCAGACTGCATTTCTGGGAAATGGGTTGCACAGAAGAATTTGTACCTCATTAGGGTGCTGGACACATGCAGACTTGAGGAAACAGAATTCAACAAGATCTACAGGAGACATTGTGATCTGTGAAAAGACTGTTCTAAGAGCCCCAAGAATATTAGGAATGCCTGGACAGTGAGGGGTACAAAAGGACAATAAAGCATTTTGTTTACATCAGATGCTCACTTTTAAGATCTAGGGGACCTGAAGTAGAACCAAAGAAAGGTATAACTTGTCATGCATTGATTCCTTTTGAGAAAATGAATTAGATGAGCTGAAATGTGGATTTCTAATATGAAGAAATTCTGCCCAAGAAGTAGCAAGAGGGTGTCCCACATTTCAGTCTGCAAACTGTGTTTGGAATGCTGCGTGTGTGTGTGCGCATGTGCACACGTGTGCCTTGAGCACAAATCTACTGGCTTGTGCAGGGAAAGACTTGTTCTCCATTTTCCTGTGATTACAAAATCATCTTTTCTCACAGTATTTGATAAAATATTATTCTTCTTTGCTAATATTGATTAGCTTTGTATCTGGGGTTGCAAGTTTTATTTTTGACTGTTTATTTTCTAATTATTTTCTCAACAGTGGTTATAAGTAGACATGGAAATACACCAGAAAATGATTTATATGAAAAGGATTCTTTTCTCCATCCCTAAGAATATGCACATAAACAAGAGAAATTAAGAAGAGCAACTAACTTTCATTACTTAGGGTAGGCTCTACTGTTTTGTTATGCCAGTAGGAGGAAGAGTTATGGAAATAAATGTAAATGCATGTTAGGGTGATAGCCAGCTGGCTATCTGAAGTGAGCTTTTTGGAAGAAACAGGGACATTTCCTTGTCATTTGTTTGCAATTGCCCCACTAATAGAGAACATTTTTCTTGCTACAGTGTTGTGCTTAAGGTAAGCACATACATTTGTAAGAAACAGATTGTTAGAAAGTGAGTTTCTTTGAAATCTTTAAGTAAAGAGCATTTATTATACATTGAAAGTATTTGAGTCTTAACCCTTCCCAGTAGAGCAGACCTGTCTTCCTCAATCATCATTTACTATTAAAGGCATAAAGAGAAAAAGAGAGAAGTAATGGGTGCTGGTCTTGCCTCCTAAGGTAAACAACTAGAAAAAAGGACTACTATCTATGAGGCTGTGGTTTTCAGGCAGTGAACAGCAGGCATCCGGAACTGTGATCCTTGAGAGAAGAGAATCACAAGAGGGGGACTCACATTTGCCCTGGTTTCCTGCTTGAACACTTTCCCCGCTGTGATATAGGGAGGTGAACCCTAGCAGAGCATGGTGGTCTCATAGCATTGAGAAAGCAGAGACTGGAGTTTAAGGCTGCTGAAGTGGCTGAGATTTGTATGGCAGGGTACTGGAGAGGAGGGAGCTACTTGAGGGGTGAGGCCCTGCAGAGAGCAGCTGCTACTAGGCTAAGAACAGAATGGCGGTACCAGAGGTCATGTATTACTGAGAAAGATTGGGTTTCTGGCCTAGCCAAGGTGAAGAGACCTTGCTGAATACCTTAGCCATTCTACCGAGACATCACATAGCCATTCTGTTGAGACATCACATCCTAGGAATAAAGACCATCCATACCTTACAGTAAGGGCCATAAGCTTGGACTAAGGACATAAGTGAAATAGACTCATCTTAACCAAGTGTAAAATGAAGCTTGGCAGGATCAAGAGGACCCACCAGTAATTTAGCTGCCACCAGAGCCAAACTGAACACCCTCCAATTGTTTACCTTATAATGGAAAGAAGCATGCAAAGTAACAGGGGATTGTGACTCATATTCAAAATAATAATCAATAGGTATGAACAATGACTATAAAAGTGGGTAATACCAGATTTTGGTCTCTAACAGCATTCTCCTTGGAAAGGAACCAGTGCTTTTTGGAGAATTGACAGGATCCAGGTTAGAGACAGGGTAGATACAAGATGAGCCCATAACATTTTTTTTTTAATATCAGAAAGTAAGGGAATAAAAGTAAGAAAATATTTTTAAAAGATGGAGTATGTCACAGGGATAAAGGAGCCAGCTTGAAGGGCTTCCCACTGGCTAAGTCTGAGACAGCTGGAGCACCAAAATACTTAAGTACAAGGATAAATTATAAGTCACTGAAAAAATAGGACTTCATGTATCTCAGGTGATCATAAATAGATATATTGGTAAACAATGTATAATGCTGAGTAATGAATGGTAATATGGAGGGATTGCTGGAGTTGGAAAAGTCAGCATGTTGCAGCCATCACAGTATAAAGTTTTTATCAGGCAGACATCACTAATGGATACTAAATCTAGGGGGAAATTTTGATGAGGGACAAGATATTTACATGGTCTTAAAGTGTCTTCCCACAGATTACTTGTTAGCTGCAAGGGAAAAAGTAGTAATTTTTCATTGGAAAAGTTGGACAACACCTTGGCTGGGTGATCAAAATTAGCATAACCAAGCTGGGGCAGATAGACTTTTTGTGCCTTTAGATGTGATATCCAGAGAAGAAAATATCACTTTTGTAGTTTTCTGAGAATGCAGAAAACTACACGATTATTCTGAACTGAATCCTCAGGAATCACCTGAGGAAATGTCATGAAAGTCAAAATAGAGATGTTCTATTAATATAAAAAGGGGGAGAGGCTATATTCTTCTAAAGTGTCAGTATCATAAAAGACAAAGGAAAGCTGGTGTGGTTCAGGTGAAAGGAAGCTGAAAAGTAATGGCAGCTAAATGCAGTATCTGACCCTGGACTGGATCTGAATTGGAGGAAAGAGAAATACTATAAAGGACATTATTAGGTTAACTGAATATGGCAGTAGATTAAACTATTATATAACTTTTAAATTTACTAAGGCTGATAGCTATATTGTGGTTATGTAAGAGAATATTCTTATTCTTAGGAAATAAATTCTGAAGTATTTAGAGGTAAAATGCTGTGTTGTATTGCACTTATCTCCTTAAGGCTCAGAAAAAAAGTCAAATGAATGAATGGACAGTGAGTGAATGGTTAAATAAATGTTGATAATAAGTGAATCTGGGTAAAAAGTACCTGGATACTTTTGTACTATTATTATTCTACAACTCTTCTGTAAGCTTGAAATTATTTCCAAATACAAAAATTTAAAGGCCAGTTATGGTAGTTCATACCTGTAATCCCAGCACTTTGGAAGGCTGAGGTGGGAAGATCACTTGAGTCCAAGATTTCGAGACCCAGCACATAGCAAGACCCCATCTCTACTAAAAAAAAAATCAACTGGGCATGGTGGCATGCACCAGAAGGCCTAGCTGTTTGGGAGGCTGAGGTGGGAGGATTGCTTCAGCCCATGGGCTGCAGTGAGCCATGATTATGCCACTGCACTCAGCCTGAGACTCTGTCTCAAAGAAAAAAAAAAAGAAAATAAAACAAAAAATCCCAGCAAGTATAACTATGATTTAAAGAGAAAAGTAGAGTATGCAGAAAAGATAAGGTGTTTCTTAACTACCTTTGTGTGGATTTTCTACCCTTTGGGTTGTCTGTGCTAAATACATTAATCCTATCGCAGTGTCAGTCACTTAGCATGCAAAGCCATTCTATCTCTGTTGGCGTATCTATGAGTATCTATGCAGGAAGAAAGAATAAATATTGCTGTTCAAGTTGAAACTATTTTGTTATATGGTGTCATGGAAGAGTTTGGAGCAAGGGTTGGTAGAGCTGGGCACTGATTTCTTCTTTGACACTTGCTGGCTGAGTGATTGGGGGAAAGTTCCCCAACCTTTGGGAATTTCAGCTGCTGCATTTTAAAATGGTGCTAGTCTGTTCTCAAGATCTTATGGCTCCAATGAGAAAATGCATGTGAAAGCTCTTTGTAAATAATAATGATTTCTTCTGCAAATATTAAGTTACTGTTAATAAGACATTAATAGTTTTTTTTTTGAGATGGGGTCTTGCTGTGTTGCCCAGGCTAGAGTGCAATCACGGCGCACTGCAGCCTCCACCTCCCATTCTTAAGTGATCCTTTTACCTGAGCCTACCGAGTAGCTGGTACCACAGGTAAATACCACCATATCTGGCTATTTTAAAAATTATTTGTAGAGAAAAGGTCTTGCTATATTGCCCAGGCTGGTCTCAAACTCCTGGGCTCAAGTGATCCTCCCACCTCAGCCTCCCAAAGTGCTGAGATTACAGGTGTGAGCCACTGTGCCCTGCCCCTGTTAATAGTTTTAGTTAAAATGGCTTAGACTGAGGTAGAGTTTCCTTAATCCAGGTGGCCCTTATTTCTCTCACAAATCAAGTTTTTAATTGATTTGATTATATGAGAGAGTTGCTTTTCCAAGTGGGCCCTTTTGTTCCTTCTGGTTGCTTCCTTCCTCATTTTCTGCCCTTATTATTCCAGGTAAAGCTTCAGCGACTGAAGGAGTGTGGACTTTTTGAATTTCAAGAACAGTAAAGTTGGAACACAGCAGAGGGTGTGTAATAAAATACAGGTAAGTCAGAATCAGCATTTCACCCATTCTCAAAGAACTCATGGTTCTGAAGTTCCTTGTAATCACTCTTGCTTTGTTCTGAGATTGTATGTGAGGCTCTGATGGCATAAGGGGATCTTCCAGGCCTTTGTGGTGCCCAAGGGCAAAATTAGCCAACAAAAGGCCTGTGTGGTTTGGAAAAAGTAGGAAACACACTTAAAGAGGCCAGCTCCCCCACTGGAGAAGGCAAGCAATCTGGGCCGGGGTGGTAGAAATGCATAAAGCAAAGGCCACAGGAAAGAGTGTCAGCCTGAGTCTCTGGAAATGACAGAAAAGGATGCTGCTGAATTTGAAGTCACATAAACCAGGTAGGAAAGGTTCTAGGATAATGTTAGTTGGGGGCATGCCTTTTCCCTTAATCTGGAATTGCTTTTGATGGAGGCTTTCGTCCTGGAAGATCACGGTTACCAGGTCTGCCTTCTTCTCTGGAGTTGAACAGGTAAGTCCAGTGCTGCTCAGAGTGCTAACCTGAGATGAAATAAAGAGCTTGACCTAGAACGTAAAAGTTAGATGAACGAAACAGTGTCTCTAGTGTTATCGTTGATTCTATGTCTGTTTCTATGTTCTATTTCTGTGTCTGTGTATATGTTGATTACTATGTCTGTATATATAATCTCCAAACAATATATTGCTTAGCTTTAATTTTAAGCTTGAACAGAATAGTATATTGCATGTAGTGTTCTGCAGCTTGCATTTTTTTTTGCCCTGTTATGTTGTAAGATTTACTTGTTGCATGTAACGGTAGTAAATTAATTTTTCTGGTTAAGTTAAATTCTATGGTGAGAATTGATCACAGTTTATCTGTTGTCTCCCTTCCCTCCAATCTTTGGTATTTTGTTGCCCCGCTAGTGGGTTTAAAATAGTATATCATTGTCATCTTTATTTGCATTTTCCTGATTAATAGTGCAATTGAACATCTTTGATATCCTTTGGAGAACAGAGTGCATACTTTTAATTTAGACAAAAATTTCAGTCTCTTCTTGTATAGTGAATGAAACTTGTTTCTTCTTTGTTTTTTGAAAGATAGTCTAAAAATTTTGAAACTGTTTATATGGCACAAATATTTTCATTGTGGCGGGGTGCGATGGCTCATGCCTGTAATCCCAGAACTTTGGGAGGCTGAGGCAGGCAGATCACCTAAGGTCAGGAGTTCTAGACCAGCCTGGCCAACATGGTGTCTTTACTAAAAATATAAAAATTAGCCGGGAATGGTGGCACGTGCCTGTAATCTCAGCTACTAGGGAGGCTGAAGCACGAGAATCACTTGAACCCAGGAGGCGGAGGTTGCAATGAGCCAAGATCATGCCATTGCACTCCAGCCTGGGCAACAAGAGCGAAACACCATCTCAAAAACAAACAAACAAACAAACTAAAAACATTTTTATTGCTAATCTTTGTTTTTCCTTTTCTTTTGAGTTGAACTTCTTGTTGGTTTATATTCTTATTCAATTTTTCTTTCTCTGCTGATTTGGAAATTATAACTTGTATTTCTGTTCTTCTAATGATTATCCTGAAAATATACTGTGCACACATAGAAGTTTTAAAGTCAGTCAGTATTTAAGGTATTCTAATCCCCTTCTGGAATAATACAAAACTCATAGTATACCTAATGAAGACTCCCTCCTTCTGTACATAGATGTTCTTTTCAGCATATCTGTTTTATTATTTGTTTCACCATACAAATTAGTCAATTTTATTGTATAGAGATGGTATTTGTTTAACTGTACATGCTTATCATTTCTTATTCCTCTTCCTTTCTTCTATCCTTACGTTTCCCCTGATGAGATTTAGCTTCTTCAGAATTTTTTCTTTTCCTGAGAATCTTTTGGTGGTAACTTCTCTCAATTTTGGTTTCTGAAATGTCTTTATTTCACTCTTACAGCTCTTAGTTGATAGTTATTTTTTTTCCCAGTGTTGTGAACATACTGTTCCATTGTCCATAGCTTTCATTTTTGCCGTCAGGACATCTGTTTATCTTTCATTTGCTATTTTTTTTAGTAGATGATTTGACTTACTCTAAGTTTGTTTATTTGTCTTTGGTGTTCAGCAGTTTCATTACAATGTGTCTATTTAGAGCTTTCTTTTAAGAATTCTGTTTATATTTTTCGTATTTCATGTATCTATCCATTTATTTCATTTATCCACCCTAAACATTTTTCAGCTCTCAATGCTTGAATGCTGCCTTTTCTTCATTCTCTCTGTCATCTTCTGGTTTTGATTAAATGGAGGTTAGAACTTCTCTTTTTATCCTTTATGTCTCTTAATTTCTGTTCAGTATTTTCTTTCTTGTTTTTCCCTGCTTTATTCTGTAATTTAAGATTTAGCTTTTAGTTCAATACTTCTCTCTTTAGCTGTGTTGGCTCTTCTGTTTAGCCTATCCATTGACTTTTTAATTCAAATGGGTATGTTTTTTAAATTTCTAAAATCTTTATTTCTGTCTTAAATCTGCCTGAGTATTTTTTGATGGTTTCATTTTGCTTGCTCATTTTTTGGCCTCATCATTAAACAGTTATTTCATATCCTATATTTGATATTGCCAGTATCTGAAATCCTTGGTGGTCTAAATGGTTTTGGGCTTCTTTCCTAGTGTGCAGGGTGAGTATGGATTACATGCTAATATTTGCTTGATAATTATGTCTTGGAATCTTGAAGTATTACTTCTTGAGATTTTGTTTGTGCTAGGAGCCAGGAGGATGCTACAGACCCAGGACCACTTCTCTTCCCTTTGAATACCTATTCCCTTTGGTTTAAAGCTGGGCTTTCTCCACCATGCTGAAACTTGGATGTCTAGTTGCCCCACCCCATTGCTGGTATTCATAGTTACCTCCAGGGCAACTCCAACTTTCTTTTTTGCCCAATCCTGAGTGTTCTTTGCTCAGGAACAGTAGATGTTCCCACTATATTCTCACGGGATTTGTTTCTCTACCTGGAGCTAACCAATGCATTAAAAAGTATTTTTAAATGTAATTTATTCAGACTCTAATTATAGTATAGCAGAAGGGCCTTGCAAATATCTAATCCACCAGAATTCCTGAATTAGGAATGCTCAAATGATTTTTAAAAATCAGTTGTCTCTAAGTACTCTTTATCAATTTATTACTTTCCTTTATTTCACCTAAGGATAAAGAAAATAGTGCAAGAGTGATCTTTTTGAAAGCTAGCTAAACATATGACATACTATATCCTTACACTTTTGCCGGGGTTCTTTTTGTAGTTAATCTATTGAATATTTACTCCCTTGGAAACTGAAATTACCACTCTTGGAATAACTCATTAGAACAGAGTACTTATTCAGCACCAATTTGTTATGCCTCCCAATCTATTTTCTGTCACAATGCCATTTTTCTTTCTATGCAGAGTCTTAGATATAAACGAGTCAGTTGTGGGTCTCTGCCTGTGGATGTGTTTCTTCTTCACATGGAATGCAGAAAATTGATGTTTGCTGTTGTGAATTAGAGGCATCATCTCTGTAAGCTCCATGTTCTTACATTCTGCATCCCCTTAATAGGCATAGAAAGCAGCATGAAATTTTTGGTCTGTAGAATGCTAAGTTGCCTTGGGCTTTGGCACATGAAAAAAGTATTTCAAAGTGGATGTCAAGTGAGGTTGCTGATTTAACAGTTTTTTTTTAATTATTATTCCTTCTGCAGCAGAATAATTACCAATAGACAACCATATGTTTTTAGAGGCTACACAGATCTGACAAGTGTGTGTGTGGATTTTGTGATGAAAGTAATACATTAGGCATGTCTCTAATTTGCAGTCTCTTTGCTTTGTAGATTACAGGTAGGATATTTGTAATACTAGTCTAATTATAGGAAAGACAGGCACTGAAAACATTTCTAGGAAATGCCGAGCTCTGCGATGAGAGATTCTTTGAGGAATTGCCTGGTATTGGCTCTATACTTTCATTTGAAAAATAAAAATATCAGAAAATTGTGTAGCTTTTCCTTGCTTTGATAGCAAATTCTAATGGGTAGTAACTTCCAACTGTGTCCTTGTATTCTTGGGTTTTTCTTGGCGGTCAGTTCAGTCACTGCTGCTAGTTTTTGCTTTCCAAATGGTTGGAAAGCTGAGCACTCCAGAAGCTTCACCTGGGGAGCTGGGGAGGTGATGGAGTAGTACTGGAGATGCTTGTCAGGGATGGCCAGTGCTTCCTGAGTGAGCTTTGCCTAGCCTTCTGTGCCAGTGGAGCCATCAGGCTCTATGGCACACTGCTCAGGCAAAGGGAAAGACATCTCATTGCCACTGCTCCAGTTCTGTTGTCCTGGGCCGGGGACTTGATTTGGCAAAGCAGTAACTGGCCCTTTGAACTTGTCAGTTCTCTGTAAATGGGTCCCTTTGAAGGTTATGAGTTGCATGATTAGCATGATTTTTAACAGAATTCACCTGAGTGCTGTTTCTTTTCCACAGTGAAGTTGGATTCTGGTCGTATCAAAACAATGCAGAGACACAGCCCAAGAGTGCTGTCTTTCATAGGTTTATGTCAGTTAGGGTGCTAAAAGGTGAGGCTTGACAGTCATTGTCAAGACAAGTGACCAGGCTCTGATGTATGACCCAGAGCAGTGTTCCTGTGTCTCCAGTACTTTAGTCACAATCGTGTTCCTCTGCAGTGAGCAGGGTTACTCATCTCTCTTTGACTTGGCACTGGGACACTTGGCCATTTGTAACATTTTGCTCCATTCTCACAAAAGATAATGAGTTAGTCTGTTTCTAAATAAGGTTTTGAAAAGTTAGGATTATTTTAATCACCTTCCTCTCCAACCTGTTCTTCCTCCTGCTCACCAGATTCATATGTGAGTGCTTGTTGTATCTTCTGTTTGATGCGTGCAAAAAATTCCTACAGAATAACTTTTTTGGCCCTTGCCACAGTCTGGGAGTTCAGAGACTGGTGCATGGGACAGAGGGAGCTATAACAGGTTCATCAGTAGCCAGACTGCCTGGGTTCAAGTTGAAGATCTACTGATAGTCTGTAGGACTTTGGTTAATCACTTAGCTTTGCTGAGTTTTGCTTTTCCCCACCTAATAACTACCTTAATCTGTTTATATGCTACAGCAGTGGTTCTTAAGCATTTTGGTTTTAGGACCCCTCTATACTTTTAAAAATTATTGAGGACCTTAAAGAACTTTGTTTATGATATCTAGCATATTGTGGTAGCAGAATAATGGTCTAATGGCCCCCAAAGATGTGGCATGACCTAGTTCCCAGTAGCTGTGAATATATTACCTTACATGGCAAAAGACTATAGATGTGATTAAGCTCAGGATCTTGAGATAGGGAGCACATCCTGAATTGTCCAGGTGGGCCCTATGTAATCATAAGAGCCATATGAGACTTTTAGCACTGCTGGGTTAGAGCATAGCCACGTAGCCACTCCTAGCTGCAAAAGAGTCCGGGAACTATGGTTCTTTTTCTGGGTATCAGTTAAAAGAACTGGCGGTTTTGTTATAAGGAAGAAAGGGAGAATGGATATTAAGGGATATTTAACAATCTCAAAGACTTATCGTGTCAAGGTTTGGTATACATGGTAGGTAGACAATCACCAGAATGTTAGTTTTTCTTCTCCTCGCCCTTTTATGAGTTTGGAAAAATGGACATTTCATTCAGACTGCATCATTTAGAAATACCTATGACAAAACACAACGACATGTTGGCACAGGCGTAATTGCCATGAACTGCATTTTTGGTATTTGCAGATAAATTATATGAAATATCTTTTTTTTGGTGCTCACAGGCAACTTTTTGATATCTTGTTTGGGTCTTTTGAACTTAACAATATGCCTCCTTTCCTTTGGTAGGAGGAAAGTTGGAATTGAAATGAGATTTAAGACTCAGCTTTGATTCATAACTATTCTTCATGGGTTTGAAAATACATGAAGTGTGACGTTTTCTTCGGGGTCATTTTGTGAACAGTCTCTGCTGGTCCCTGGCAGTGTCCTGTTGTTGAAGAATAACCCAGTTCTAGTTTCTGATGTGAAACAGCCATTAGGAATATTTGTGCTAAAGTACCTTATATTTTTAAAAAATGTTTATAAATACTATGAAACAGTCTGGGTCTAAATGGCTTAATTTTGAGCTTAATATAAACCTGAATGCTGATTTTATTAATTGATGAATATGCATTTAATGCATTTTTAGTGCTATCCTCATCTTTAGATACATTATTGTAATAGCTTTTGAGTGAATGAGGGCTTGGAGATATTAACATCCTATCTGGTCTGGAGCTATTATTTCAGTCTCTGGATTAGAAGAAGTCTTTGTGTCATTCACACCTGGGAGTGTCCATTTCCTAGCTAAACTGGTTGGGAAGGGCAGTTTTGGCTTGGGATGGGGGTGGAGAGGAAGTGTTGAAGGTAGTTTTGAAGCCTCAAAGACTCCTAGGGGGAAGGGGCACTTGTTTGGGAGCTACAACTGGTCCTTGGGGTGGCCAGAGGGCTGCACCAGTGTCTGGTGACCTTTCCAAACTGGAGCTGAAAGGGGCACTTCTACCTACTTCGCTGTTTTTCCCAGGGACCATTGAAAACCATCTTGCGGTTGCCAGTTTCTGTTTTACTTTGTGGTTCACTGTGTTACCAGGAAGCAAGGTTCTTCTTGGTTGAAACCTTAGTGAGGACAGAGAGAGTATAAGCAATTGGTGTAACTGAAACTTGAGTGACTGGGGACCTACTGGTACTTAACACCTTGCATCCAAGAAGCTCAGTGTTTTTGGAAAATAGCATTGTAATGGTAGCATTTGTTACCCACATGAGGCATACTACAAAAATTACAAGTGAAACTTGTGGAAGGATGTCCCTACTTCATTTTGTGGTGTATTTCAGCCCTCTATCTGGGAGCTCTCAGGGCTAGCTGTCTTCAAGACTTGTAGTGGGTAAGTGTGGCTGGCTGCAGGGTCCCCCATCTCCTTTCCATAGTCCATGTGTTACCCCGGGTACTGCAAGGTGGCAAAGGCCAAGGTGCTGGTTAAGAGGAAGTCCTGCTGAAAAACCAGTGGTTTTGGAAATATGAGCTGGAATAATTTTCTGATAGTTTTAAATTTATGTTGTAAAACAGTGTTTGATTTGGGAGTTCTTGCGTTTACTAATCACTAAACCATTTCTACATGTGGAAGCTCAATTAATGCAGGGCCAAGAACAGTGTCTTTTTTTCCCATAAACTCTTGGGCAGCCTGCGAACTTCCTCATAGCTGGATCAGAAGGCATTGCAGGATAGGACCCAGCCCTCATGGACTGGCAAACCCAGGTCATTGCCTTGTGCACAGAGGGACTCCAGAGGGTTTTGGAACTGGTATGTGAGTTGACGTCCTTGATCTCATTTCTTATTAATTTCCTAGCTGACTTCCATAGCAGCTGTTGCAAATACTTGCTTCTTTTTGAGCTCCTGGTCTCCCATAGCCCTGCTCTTGGCAAATGTCCATATAAACAAAGTCATGAAGACAGAGAGAGAGCCCTTTCTCTCTCTCCTTTCTGCTTCAGGGTATGTCTGGTTTTTTTTCTCTGACAGGTGCTAGCTTGGTTCTGAGTGCTATCATGTATGGAGAAGTCTTGTTTCCTACTCCCTCACACCATCTCCTTCTGTCCTGCGTCTGCCCTCTCTCAGGTGCCCAAGTACCCTGTTGCCATATTCAGCTACTCTGTGGTATGCTTCTTGAACCGGATAGCCTTCCCCATGCCTTTGATTGGTATCTTTCCTATTATGACCCATCTGTTTCACAATCCACTCCCTCAAAGCCCTACTATGGACATTGTAATCTGAAATCATACCTTGTATGTGAACATTCACTGAATGTTTATTGACATCTACTGTGTGCGTGGGAGCTGAGGGTACAGATGCCAGGAGATACGGAGATGAGTCAGACTTCTGAGATTATTAGTATAGAATGGAGAGAGAGACATGGGACAAATAGCATTAGAGATTAATGACAAAATTATGTACAGGTTAGAAGGGAAGAGGGGCAGTTTACCTTGAAGAATTTTATAAGTGTGGATCCCTCAGACAAGAGGAGAGGGTCATGCCAGAGCCAAAAGCCAGTGATGGATTACTGTGTCCCCACTTTCTGATAAGATTTCATTGTGACTCATCTAGAGCAGAGGGAGACCTCTGTAACTACAAGATCTCTAGTAGTAGCGTTTGGCTCACTGTGGCAGGTGGTTGCAAAGAACCTTTTAAGGCAGAAATAGGCCTATGGGTGTCCTAAGGTAACATCACATGGATAATTGCCAACTCTGTATATCTTTTGGGCTGGACTCTGACTTAAGGAGAAGTTAAGAAGTCTTCAGTGAATTTCTTAAGCCCTGAGCATCTTTGTATTCTGCTTTAAGAACTTGTTGGTTTCTGTGTTTCATACTCAATGGCTCTGGCACTTGGATGACCTGGTCCCACAGAAGGCCTTGAATACTGAGTCTGAGGATGGGGCTTGCTTACAAGGACCTTCCTCACTGTCTTAACCAGATTGTGTTTTAACCTTTCATCTCACTTTTTACTTTTCATTCATGGATAGTGTCTGTCACTGTGTGTGTGTGTGTGTGTGTGTGTGTGTGTGTGTATGAATGAGTGAATGAATATTTCTCACACTCTAAATTCTTTTAAAGGCAGGAAGTACTGTTCTCTTGTTTGCTATTTTATCCACTCTGCCTCTACTGGGTCTGGCATATAATAAACAAAGAGTGAACAGGACAAACACCCATTCTGAAAAGTGAACTTCTCTGGCAATTGTGGTTTGTACATACCAGCTGGAGCATAGACAATTGGCTTTTTAATGTGGTAAGGGAAAAGGTCAAAAGAAAGTCCTCATCATTTACCAAAGTGCTTCCAGCAGATGATGTTTATAATCCCAAAAGGGTCTTTTCAATACATAATGTGCTTTGATGGAACAGATTTATATCCCGATTGTGGAAATTGTTATATAAATCTATATATGAGATAAAGTTTTATAGAATTGTATGTAAAAAAACCCAAACAAACAACAAAGAACATGTAAAAACTAGTGAAATCTGAACGTGGGCTGTAGTTTATTAATAGTAATAGTATTGTACCCAGTGTCAAGTTTGTGCTTTGATAATTGTATAGTTATTACGTAAGATATGGGGAGAAGCTGGGTGAAGGATACACAGGAACATTCTACAATGTTTGTATCTTCTATGTGAGTCTAGAGTTATTTCAAAATCAAAAGTAAAAAAAAAACACAGAGATACCACTACACATCTATTAAAATAAGTAAGAAGCAAACAAACAAAACAAAAACAGATAATACCAAGTACTGACAAAGATACAGAGCAACTAGAACTCTCCTACATTGCTGGTGAGAGTCTGAGAAGATATAGCCACTTTGGAAAATAGGTGGTGTTTACAAAGTTAAACATATACCATATAAGCGAGTAGTTTCACTCTTAAGTATTTATCCAAGAGAATTGAAAACCTCTATTCACACAAAAACCTGTAGGCTAATACTTCTAACAGCTTTATTCATAACTGCTAAAACTGGAAAAAATGTAATTGTCCTTCAACTAGTGAATGGATAAACAAACTGGTATGCCTATTAATGGAATACTGTTCATCAATAAGAAAGAACAACACAACTATTTGGCTGAATCTCAAACGCATTATGTTATGTGAAAGGAGCCAAACTCAAAAGAATCCATACTTTATGATTCAATTTAAATGACATTCTGGAAAAGGCAAGAGTATAGGGTTAGAAAATAGATCATGACTGCCAGGAGCATGTGATGGGGGAGAAGATTGACTACAAAGGGCATAGGGAAATTTTTGAGATAAATGAAATGTTCTATATCTTGATTGTGGTGGTGATTACATGACTGTGTGTGTTTGTCAAAACTCATTGAACTGTACACTTAAAAGATTGGATTACTGCATGCAAATTATACCTTATTAAGTCTGACTTTAAAATAAAAACACCACCAACAAAAATAAATAATTGATGATGCACTTTGGCTTAAATACCATCAAAGGATCATTTTGTTAGCTACTTGGATAAGGATTTGTTAAGTCATTAGTTATACAGAATGCCTCATTCAAATACAAAGGTGCAGCCCTTTCAGTACTCTGGCTTCTAATTGGGTGATGGAAATAGCTATTACTATAGAGGTGGATGCTCTAATGATCTTTGTTAAACAGAATGCTGCTGGAAGGTTAAAACAAAAGCTGCTGATTCTAGCGTTAGTGGAGATAGTGTTTAGTATACAATGTGCAGTCAAATTTCACTCTATCACCTCTCCTGATTCCTTTGCCATTAAAATATTCATCACTAGAGAAGAGTTGACTTTTCAGATCCGTTTTAATCTCAGCCATAA
Source organism: Homo sapiens (assembly GCF_000001405.40). Classification (NCBI taxonomy): domain Eukaryota; kingdom Metazoa; phylum Chordata; class Mammalia; order Primates; family Hominidae; genus Homo; species Homo sapiens. Next base: position 50,509,483 of record NC_000010.11, on the reverse strand, counting down.
CAAATGCACTGTGATATATATATGTGTATGTATATTTTCCTAGAATGGCTTATCAAATGTCTTACTGGAAAAACCAACATGTTTGATTTGGTGGGAGGAGGAATGGCTAATTTAATCACTCTCTAAAATACAATTCACAAATGTTTACAGCAAGAATTGGAGGGTTCTAACTGGAAATTTGAAGCTGTAGAGCTCTTAAACTGTGTTTCTTGATAATCAACATCCTTTATAAATCAAAGTAAAGATATGATTTTGAAAGAAGGCTTAAATTCCAAACTCTTGGCTGTGATTCGTGGGGTTGAAGGATATAACTTCTATCCTTTTGGGACAGATATCTCAACAATATGTATAAGATTACACAGTCTTTCCCCAACAGGAAATTTCTTGTTTATTTAAAACTGGGATTTACTAAATTGGTTTGAATTTAATGCTGTTCAGTAGTCAACTCAGTTGAGCAAGCACTTACCAATAATCATTAACTAGATGCCACATCTGTGATGAGGTGCTGAGTTTACACAGGCAAATGAGCCCCAAGCCCTGTTTTTAAGGAAATTACCATCCATCAGGGTGGACCAAACCATGTACAGCCAGCTAAACTTCAGCAACAGGGGAGATCTCTAAGGAGGAAGCTATTACATAGGAGATGACATTTGAATTCAGCCTTAATGTGTTAGCAGAATTTGGTCTAGTGTGGAAGACAGAAAGCCCAAGGTTTTATGGCAGAGGCTTAAGAACTTCACCGACAACTTCTTATATTCTCCTTAGGTCAGAGCCTGGTCCAAAAGGTATAGAGAATTGGCAGTTACCCACAAGTCTGCCCCAAAGAGGTTCTTTCCAACCACCTGCCACAGTGAGTCAAACAAACTCCGCTGTTGGAGATCCTTTACTTAAAGAGGTCTCCCTGCGGTCTAGACTAGTCACAGTGAAATCCCATCAGAAAGGGGGCCATAGTAATCTATTGCTGGCTTTTGGCTAATGACTGACATGACTTCCTTTTTGTCACTTGATATTTCACTGTCATACCAAGAGAGATGTTAACCGCAGTTAACTGATGAGAAACGTGAGCTGAAGCAGCTTGTGTCACTTGCCCTAGGATGCAGCTCTAGGATTCAGTCAATGTCTGACTGTGCTGGTTTTCCACTACAGCCCATGTGGCCTACTATGAGGACATGGAGACCCCATAAACTTATGGCCCCTGAGTCTCAGCCCTCAAGTGTGGTTAGCATGCCAAAATGGTAAATCTTTGAATACTCTTGGATTGTTTAGCTCTTTAAATGTTTGAGGTGCTCTTATATACATTATCATTTGATTTTTACTTTAAAAACAACTCACAGAATAAACGACTGTAGTTTTAAATAGAGCATTGTTGTCACACAGCACCTTTGGGGAGCCCATACATTGCTTGAGGTGGTCAAAGACTGGCTGAGTTGCTGGGGCCAGTAGTAGGGAGTGGGTACATCTTTAGCAGATCCCATGAATTGTCCCTCATGGGATCTGTTGTGGGGGATTAAATGGTTCTCTTCCTGTCTCCAACTAAGCTGAGGCTTACTGTAACCAGAGGAGCCACTGGCTTGGAACCCCTGGTTGGAACATAAGTTCTCTTGGGCATTGCCATTCCAGGGTATTAGGGTATTGGGGCCTGAGGCCCCTGAGGATAGCATGAAGCCATCTGGGGACTTCTCCATGAGAACTTCTTGTCACTAAGTGCGTGTAATTGCTGATTTAGTCTAGCCTGGCAGGCCCAGTGGTTCTGGTAAGTGGTGTTATTATACCAGGCTATTGGCTGGTAGTTGGCTAATTTGAGGAAAAAAAGAGGTGGTTGGATTCTATGGTAAATTCAGTTGGATGCAAGTGATAGGATTTGCCACAGGGATCATAAAAATCAGGGTGCTGTTCAGGGTGCACAGGTGAATTCCATGGCTCAGGCCTGATTTCACTCCACTGTAGGTACAGAGTGTGATCATGTGTGCAAAATTGTGCTTTCTGCCCCTCCAGAGTGTTTGATAAAGGAATGTCCAAGCCGCCTGTATTTTAGCCTGTTTCGCTCAGCTTGGGCTGGCCTGAGCCCAGGACCTTGGTGTTCCTGGGCTTCTGTCGCTCAGAAGAGCTGCATGGGAGCTCAGAGACAAAGGGGCTTGTTGTGTGAACTCAGATCAGTGGCAGCTGCAAGAAAGAAGAGATAAAGTCCTTCTGTTTTGCTTTTGCTCAACTCTAAATGGTACTTTAGGCTTTTTATAACATTGCAGTGTTCCTTAGGAAAGCTTGACTTGACACACTTATTCTCAGGGTTTTAGGGACCCTCTGTGAGGAATGGTTTGATCTGTCAGAAGGATGGCCTGACAGGGATAGAGCTTTTGGCCAGACCTAGCTACCAATGGGCTGTGTGATCTTGTGCCAGTTGCTTCCCCTCTCTGGGCCTATAAGCCTGGGGGAGTTTGGACTAGAGCAGCTGTGTGTTTCCCATTCGGTACCAGCATTCTGGGTGCATTTGGTACTAGAACAATGGGTTGTAATGGACATGCTTTGCAGGGGTTTTGGGGCCCGACAGTATTGCTTCCTATTCCTGGGTTGAAGCACTTATTCATTTGGATCATGGTGTGGCTGCAAAGACTGGGTTCAGTTAAGTGAGGTCATGTGCGTGAAGCACCTAGCAGGGTACCTGGCACCTGGGAAGGGTGCAGCTAATGGTGGCCACTATTAACATTTAAATTAGGAGGTATGTGCTTGCTGCACTGCCTTTTTACTTCCTGTCACAGAGTAAGTGGCTCCCATTATCTTTAATTTAAAAAAATTCTGATAATTGTGGACAAGCAGCACATCCCTTTAATTTGCTCCTGGAGGAGTGACCTGTGTGATCTTAGGAGTGAGTGGGCAGCTCTGCTTTGCTGCCTTCCCTTTTAGTGTAGGATTCTGTAATATGAAATGAAACTGAGCAGACACGTGGTCTGAATGGCTCACTTAGGGACTTCATTATCTATGTATGGATTTTTCATAGCTCCTAACTTTTTTTTTTATTAGGAAGGAAATCTGTGTGGCATAGATGATGCCATGGAAAAATGCAACTGTAAATTTTCTTTGAGCAAGAACACGGAAGCATGAGAAGGAAGGCTTAATTCCTTCTCCAATATTTATTGAACTCGGCTATTTTTCAGGCACTAGAGATGCAAAAATGAGTACAATCAATATGGTCTTTGCCTTCATGGAGATTAGTTTATTGAGGCAGAGCAGACATTAAATTACAGAAATAATGATTTAATTATAGTTGTGACTAGTGCTGGGAGAAGTACAGAGTGTAGTAAGTTTAATAAGTGTGTAATGTAGGATCTACATGTAATGGGGAGATCAGAAAATTCACTCTGGGGGAATGACTTCTAGTGAGAAGTCTGAAGGGTAAGAGGAGAGTATTCCAGGACAAGGGAGATGGGGAAGGCAATTCTCCAGGAAGAAGGATGGGAAGATAGAGTAATCAGGAGGGAGAGGAAGGATCACAGCTCAGTTTCAGGCCTGAGCAACTGGGAGAAGGCTGGTGCCATGTCTGCAGGTAGAAAATGTTGGTGGATTGTGGTTTGGGTGGGAGTGGGGTCAGCCGGGCACCCTCCTTTCTCTTTAGAGGATGCTCTCCCCCCGCAGATATGGTGTGCTTTGCTCCCCATTCCTCGGGCCTCTGCTCAGATGGCCCTGTTAGGGAGACTTTCCCTGACCACTTCAGGTACATCACCCCCTCCCATCCCTGCACCCTTGGGCTCAGCAGCACCTTTCACTGCCTGATGAGCTGTTGGCTGCATATGAACTCCTTGAGGGCAGAGGTCTTTGTTTTATTCCCTGCTGTATCTATAGCACCTAGAACAGTGCCTGGCATATTAGAAGCCCTCAATAAGTACTTGTTGAAAGAATCATGAGTTTGCCTTTGGTTATAGTTTTTGTGTCCTTTTCAAACTTGAGTGACTTTTTAAATTAACCTGAGGCTGGAGAGGAGAAGGGTGTAGAAGTACTGTTCACTTGACATATCAGGTCTTTTTTAAGGCAGGAAGAATGGAAAAGATGGATTTTCTTCTTTTAAAAAATTTCAGTGTTAGGCATGATAGAACAGAGCAGCTAGAAAAATGTTTGAATATGACTTTTGTTCGTTATAAATTGGTATAAAAATCTACCCCTCTATCTGGTATTGACTAGATTTTGGGGCTAAATTATAACCTATTGTAATTCCTCTGATTGTTTCTATGGGAGGAGCTGTTGACTTTTTAATTTAATTTTCTAAATTTATTTTTGAGACAGGGTCTCACTCTGTTGCCCAGGGTGGAGTGCAGTGGCACAATCATAGCACACTTCAGCCTCTACCTCCCAGGCTCAAGCCATCCTCCCACCTCACCCTCCCAAGTAGCTGGGACTACAGGCACACACCAACACACCCAGCTAATTTTTGTATTTTTTTCTTTTTATAGAGATGGGGTTTTGCCGTGTTACCTGCACTGGTCTCGAATTCCTGGCCTCCTGCCTTGGCCTCCCAAAGTACTGGGGTTACAGGCGTGAGCTACTGCACTTGGCCAAGCTGTTGACTTTTTTATTGTATCTTTTTACTACTGGGGAGAGGTATGGAGGCTAGGATCAAAACTTCATCAAAAGGGAAATTTGAGAGCAGCAGTCGATAAAAACAATTTGTTAAGAGATATTTTTGGATCTTTGGGTCTCTGTATAGCCAGAAAGGAATAATAACTCAGAAATGTTTTTCTAAACCTTTTTGACTTTTAGAAATAAGTCAACCGCCATTACTTTAAAAAAAAAATGAACAGGATTGATGTTTGTATAGGAGGCTGTGTATATAGTGGTTACAAGTATAGCTGTTAGAGTTAGATCTCTGTTTAAATCCCTGCCTCTCCCTCCCTATTACCCCATCTTCCCATCCTTCTTCCTGGAGAATTGCCTTTTGTCACTTACTACCTGTATGAGCTTGCACAATTACTTAACTTCTTTCTTTAAAATGGATATTATCAAAATTATGTTATTTGGGGGATTAAGATAAAATAAAATTCATTTATTGTTACCATTTATAAGCTAACATAACTGATGACAGTGCTAAATGGGATTTAAAGGTAGGAACTATCTTGAGAAAGCTAAGTGTTACAAAGTATAATTAGTCCAATCCAGTGTTTCCCAAACTTACCTAAGCTTAAGAATTTCCTCAGGGCACTTATTAAAAATATAGATTCTCAGGCACCACCCGGACTTACTGAATCAGCTCTCCAGGGGAGGGGCCTGGGAGCCTAGTGAGGTAGGTAGGGTGATGACACACCCTGCATTTTCTGAGCCTGTCCTGGTTTCAGGTACCCTGCATGATGAATTCCAGATGTCTGTTTATACTTGTCAGACTGTGTCTCAATTTTCAGACAGGAGCTATGGGCACTGTTTATGTAGGCCATCTCATTCAGAATCCTCTCTCATATCGATGCAGGTAGAACATGCTTATAAAACACGAGAGGATGTGTAGCCACAAAGTTGCATAGTGTCAGTCAGCGTAAATCACTCAGCTAGCCTGGCCTTCATTTTTTCTCTGTACAAAACTTCTACGATCTTGATAATCTGCTCTGTTAAGTGCAGACAGTGACGTGGTCAACATATGTTGACAGCCCTCTGTCTTGCCCAGTCTCTCAGGCCCTAGTGATATCAGGCTGTCAGAGTGACAGTGCCTGTGGACTGTGTCTGCACGGGGCAGTGAACCCTAGCCTTTGTCGTCTAAGGCCAAACCCACAGAACTGCTCTTCTCTCCTCCACGAGCTGGGAACTTTCACTCATATCCGTGTGAAGAGACCACCAAACAGGCTGTGTGTGAGCAACAAGGCTGTTTATTTCACCTGGGTGCAGGCGGGCTGAGTCCGAAAAGAGAGTCAGCGAAGGGAGATAGGGGTGGGGCCGTTTTATAAGATGTGGGTAGGTAAAGGAAAATTACAGTCAAAGGGGGTTGTTCTCTGGCAGGCAGGAGTGGGGGTCACAAGGTGCTCAGTAGGGGAGCTTTAGAGCCTGGATGAGCCAGGAGAAGGAATTTCACAAGATAATGTCATCAGTTAAGGCAGGAACCGGCTATCTGGATGTGTACATGCGGGTCACAGGGGATATGATGGCTTAGCTTGGGCTCAGAGGCCTGACAGGAACTAGGGAGCAAGGTCTCACTCCGCTACACTTAGGACAATTAGCGTGTTCCTAATCAGCTCTTCTAGAAAAACAGCATTTTGCTGTTTTCACATAAGCCTGCAAGTTCATTTTCCCTCTCTGGCCCAGGTAGTAAGTAATCATTTCCCCATCAGTGACAAGGGAAGATGAACATCTAAAATTTTACTCCCAGGGCTGAGCTTTCTGTAGACATTACAAATAGAGTTCACATGTCTTTAAGGAATAAAGGATTCTCACATTCAGTTAAGGTGGTTCTTCCCATGCTAGGTAGGGTTGGAGAAAATGATTCTTTGGAGATTTAAGGAATTTTCTCTGGCAGCCATTTTTTGTATCGGTCATGGTTTCATATGATATTTTATTTCACTACATTTTGGGTTGTGCTTAACTGTATCTTTCTTTCTGTTTGCATCATGGGAGAGATTGGATCTGTGCTGAGAATTTTTTTTGGGTGATACGTTCATTTTCTGACCAGTAACAAATCAGTCCACTTTTGGGGACTATTTTTAAAATGGAAAAGTTGATGTACATTTATAAAGTTGCAAATTTTTACTTCCTTTAGAAAAAGGCTGTGAGGTCTTGAGGGCATCCACATAAATACATTTGATGTTAGAGACCTGGGGACTGAAAAGGAAAGTATTTCTTCTTCTTCTTTTTTCCCTAATATTTTCCTGTGACAAAATTTTGTATCTGCACAATTTTAAAGAGTAGAATACTAAAATTTTGGTGAATTTAAGAACAAACTCATTAGGAAAATGTGAAATGTGGGCAGATATTTGCTGCTCTGTGGGTATGCCTAAAAGACTAAACTTTCCAGATAGAGAGAAGGGTAGGGTCAGCATGCTGGTAAGTTTGTTTTCTTCCCTTCCATGGGCAGGTAGAAGGAACTGGGCTCTCAGTGGGATGGCACCTCTCCTCTCCCTTACTTCCCTCGGAAGCTCAGTTAGGGAGGAGCCTGGACCAGTAGTGTTCTTTACTGACTTCTCCTGCTGTGCTGGTTTTTTTTTTTTTTTTTCTTTCCTCATTTGTAAATCATCTTTGTGTGGGGAGAGGCTGGAGGTGGAAATTCAAGAGTCATCTTTTTGCAGGCAGTAGAGATGATTACCTAGGTAAGCAGTTTTGATCAGTTATAGCTACAGATAGCTATCTTGTCAGGTGAGAGGCCTCTGGGGGAGGAGGGACTTTGTGGCAGAACAGCCAGGGGCCTGGGCACTCAGTTCCTGTTGACAGCCAGCAGGCAAGGCCAACCCCACATATTTCTAAATTGCAAACACAGTACATTGTGGAAACATAGTCTCTGTCCACAAGGGAGGCCCTCTGCTCAAAGAAACAAATGAAAAAAAACCCAACTCCTCCCTTTCCCCAGCAAACATACAACAATGATGGACAGTGAAGCAAGATGTGCAGTTTGGCTGAATACCCATACTTAAAATTTTAATTGTTTTTATAATCATGTCTTATTATCTAAAAAGTAATTTAAGAATTTTTCTTAGGGTTTCAATGATACCATGAATTTTAACATCTTACCACATTGTCTAACCTCTTTGAAAGTAGGGCCCTAATCTTGAGGTTTCTGGAAACTCCTGTGGCACCAAACATAGGACAGAACGCCCTATCAGGACTCAGAGACAACTTGTTGAATTAAAGTATGACTCACTAGATTTATGTAGGTGGAATTCTTCACTACTTGCCTTGTGGGTGTTCACATTTTGTCCATATTCATGATGTTTATTTACAAGCTGTTTTAGCTCAAGAATTGCCTGCTAATTTTTTTTGGTCTGCGTGTGAATCATATAGAATTATCTCTGCAAATTAATTTCCTTAATGAACTCAGAAAAGAGGAAAAAATCAAACGTATTTCACCAAGCATTCTACCTACTTAAAAATGTAACAGAGTACTTTTGTATATAATATAAAGTTTTATATAAAATGTAGAAAATACATAATGGAAATAGTTGCCTTTTTAAGTTTTAGATAATTGTGAACCCCTTTCATTCGCTGTTAGGATGATAGAGTTTGTGGACTTGTCCTTCTCTCCTTTCTCTGTTCCTCAGAATTGAAGGACTTCACAAGGGAGATGCTGGTGTGCTGGAAAAGAATGAGAATTTACTCCAAGTAGGATTAGGGGGCATGAGTGAGGGTACCACAGAAGGGCACATTTGGGGGAAGTATAGATATTATTGCCAGAGCATAAATTGCAGGAGAGGATGACATGGGATGAGAGGGAAGGAGGCCATTCCTTCTGGCTGGCCCCCATAATCACTGAGACCCAGGGTTGATAGATACTCATAATGTGACCCTGTGTCTTCCCAGCATTGGTTAATTGGTTCTTTGGAAAATCAGATGAGATCCCTTATTACTCTTGAACTACCATAGAAATATTTAAGATTACATGCCCATATACCTTAGTTACTGAAATTAAAGAGTAATTTTAAAGAATTTTAATGGAACAATGATTGCAACAGAAAGAATTTCCTGAGCTAATAAACCTAAACTAATGCCATTATCAAGGCATCCTGATGTTTTGAACCATGTCTCTGGGTGGATGGAAGAAAAAAGTTAGTATGGACTTACGTTAGCCAAGGTGGTAGTCCTGAAGCCAGTAACATAATTAAGGTTTTGGAGTGCTATTTCACATGAATATTTCTCAGTGGAGTATATGAATAAAGTTAATGTGTCACAACTTTAAGGGTCAATTTAAAGTGCCTTGTAATATTAATGGAACCCAAATCAGAATCCTTATGTAGAAATTAAAGGTGTCAATGTAAGTGCTTAGAAAAATGCGTGGCACACACACTCATAGAGGGTCTGGAAGTGTTTTGATGGTGAATTAGTACCCTTTTGGTTTAACCTTTATTTTAAAACCGATTTTCATTTATTTGATTTCTTTAAATGAGAAGTAAGCATATATCTTCTTTCACAATTGCTTCAGGTTCCCAATTGTTTTATATTTTACTGTAATTTATTAGTAAATTTCTATAAACAGAACAGCAGCTATTTGATGGCAGTTTGGGTTAAGTGATTTCTGAGACTTTCCCATAGATTCTTTGAATTTAAATGAGAAGCCTGATAAAAATTCCAAGTTAAAGATACCCAGGAAATCTACAACAGATCAAGCTTGTTTTTTTGTTTGTTTGTTTGTTAGTTTGTTTTTGAGATGGAGTCCCGCTCTGTCACCCAGGCTGAAGTGCAGTGGTGCAATCTTGGCTCACTGCAACCTCCACCTCCCGGGTTCAAGCGATCCTCTTGCCTCAGCCTCCTGACTAGCTGGAATTACAGGCACATGCTACCACACCTGGCTAATTTTTGTATTTTTCAGTAGAGACGGGATTTCACCATGTTGGTCAGGCTGGTCTCGAACTCCAGACCTCATGATCCGCCCGCCTTTGCCTCCCAAAGTGTTGGGATTACAGGCGTGAGCCACTGCGCCAGGCTGATCAAGCTTGTTTTTTAGATACAATATGTGAATTTAGCCTAAGCCATACGTTTAAAATATAGCCATTTGGCATTAACTTTTTAATTAACTAATCAAGAGAAGAGGGAAAACCAATCTTGTCTCACAATGTGCACTCTACCTTTTTGCTGTAACTAAATTAAGTATAACTTAAAATATATGACAAGTTCTTGTTACCACTTTTTCAAACTGAAAAAAGGTATAATTTTGTGATATGCTACCACTGTTTATTGTCCTACCTGAATATCCTGCCTTTGGGAAAAGAATATTTATGTTTATAATTTGTATATAAGAAAATACTATCTTGTCTACAGTGACAATCTTGAGGTTTGGTGAGTATATATATGAATTGTAAAACAGGGTCATCTGGGAGTAGTTGAGGAAAGGATATGTATATTTCAATGCTAAAGAGACCTTTTTGTGACTTAACTTTTAGTGGTATACCAGCAATAATGAGACTTTCCTCCTCCTTATCATCATCTGTCTTTCTTTAAGTGCTTCTTAGGAGCCAGAGAGCATGCTAAGTGCTTTGTACAATTTCGTAAGTGAATTCTCCCAAGAACTTTAAGAAATGGATATTCATAGCTCCATTTCACCAATGAGAAAACCAAGGCTTAGGGAAGGTACTTTGCTTCAGAAGTAGCTGTTTCATATTTGAATACAGGATGGTTTTGTGTCCAAAGCTTTATTTTTAAAATTTAATCTCAGCTGCTATTATTAAAATTACCTCTCAGAAAGTGAATAGTAGCATACTCATGAAAATCAGGTTTTCTAATATTCTTAGCCAATTGCATAGATGGGACAAAAGTTTAATTCTATTAGCCAGTTTAAAAATAAAAATACTTAAAGAATTACCAGTAGGATGGCTACTATTAAAAAACCCAGAAAATAACAAATGTTGGCCAGGATATGAAGAAATTGGAACACTCGTGCACTATTGGTGGGAATGTAAAATGGTACAGATGCTATGGAAAACAATATGACAGTTCCTGAAAAAAATTAAAAATAGAACTACCATATAATCCAGCAATTCCACTTCTGGGTTTAGACCTGAAAGTGTTGAAAGCAGGTTCTTGAAGATATGTTTGTACACCCCGGTTTATAGCAGCATTATTCATAATAACCAAGGAGAGGAAACAACCTAAATACCCATTGATGGATGAATGGGTAAACAAAATAGGATGTTTGCATACAATGGAATATTATTCAGCCCTAAAAAGGAAGGAAATTCTGACACTTGCTACAACATGGATGAACCTTGAGGACATTATAGTAAGTGAAATCAGCTAGTCACAAAAGGAAAAATACTATATGCTTCTACATATATGAGGTACCTAGTGTATTCATAAAGACAGAAAGTAGAATGGTGGTTTCCAGGGGCTGAGAGGGGAGTTACTGTTTAATAGGTACAGAATTTCTCTTTGGGATGTTGAAAACACTCTGGAAATGGATGGTGGTGATGGTTACACAACAATGTGAATGTACTTAAAGCCATAAAACTATATACTTAAAAATGATTAAGGTGATAAATTATGTTATGTATATTTTACCACAATAAAAATAATGCTTTAAAAAGAAAATAAGGATTGAAGTGATTGGTTGTGAATTCCTCTTCCCTCTGAATGATAAAAGAGATTTTATCCGATCACATCTTTCCCATGTTAAGTTACCATGATCCCCTCCCCCAAACAGCATTGCTGAAAAAGCAGGGGTGGTGGGCAAGTCATTGAGACCTTGAGTTATATTTCCCTAACTCCCAACTTGCTTGAAGTCTGTGTTCTCTTCATCTTGTCTTTTAAAAATGAGTGGGCTTTTCTTAGAAACCAAATTCCCTGGAGTGTGATATCAGCATACTTTTACTCTGAGAGTTTTTAGCAGCAGCTTTCTCAGCCTGAGAGGAAAAGCAAAATATAAAAATAACTTAGGGCTCACATTCAAATAGGTAAACAGATATGTCCAAAGTGAAACCTCTAACTGAAAGTCATGCATTTCAGTTAGGCACAGTGTTAGATGGTAGGTGGATGAATCATCTGGTCTGACCTGTCAACTGAAGGATCTGGAATTTTTTTTTTTTTAGATGAGTTTTGCTGTTGTTGCCCAGGCTGGAGTGCAATGGTGCGATCTTGGCTCACTGCAACCTCCGCCTCCCAGGTTCAAATGATTCTCCTGCCTCAGCCTTCTGAGTAGCTGGGATTACAGGCATGCACCACCACGTCCGGCTAATTTTTTGTATTTTTAGTAGAGACAGGGTTTCACTATGTTGGCCAGGCTGGTCTTAAACTCCTGAACTCAGGCGATCCATCTGCCTCGGCCTCCCAAAGTGCTGGGATTATAGGCGTGAGCCACCGCGCCCGGCCAGGATCTGGTATTTAATACTCACTTACCTTTTGGCTTCTCTTGCATAATCTCACTGGTTCTGTTCAGCTCCATATGGACAAGTTTAATATGATAGAACACTGAAGCTTGTTTGTCATGTCTTCCAGCTTTAACACTATTATGGGTTGTATAGATTGTAATTCTTGAAAAGATGAGTCCTCAACATTTCTTGTTAGTTGATAGCTATGTGAGCAGTATAGTGGTGAATGGAGCTCACACTGAAGTGCATAATGATCCTTATTAGACAACTTTGTAAGTTTGAAAATGTCATCAAAGGAGAATTAGGATCATCTGTCAAGGCTACCCTATTGTGGGGAAGAGAGGTGTGGGTGGAGGCAGAGTTCTCATCGTTAATCGTTGACACTTGGAGAGGTTTGCATCGAGCCTTCTGGACTTCATTCTAATGACAGTAGAGCTGTCTCTACATTTCAGTGTTGGAAGAAGGGTGGAGGATGACTTTACCATATCCCCCTTTTAAGATCACTTTTACCAGTGGGTGGAAGCTAGAGTGGAATTAGGGAGACCAAACAGGAGGCTGCTGTGGGTTTGTGTCTAAAGATGTTGGTAGTGACATTAGTTGACATGCATGGAGGACTACTTGGATGCCAAAAGCTTTATCCTTACTGTAGCTCTGTGAGCTATATAGATGGGTGACATTACTGGCACCATTTTGCGGATGAGGACATCCAGGATTAGAGAGGCTAAGCAGTTTGCCTAAGATCACACAGCTCATAATGAATTTGAGATGGTAGCCAGGCCTAGGTACTGGTAGAGAGGAGCTGTTTTTATTCTCCCAAAGCCATGGGATCACCTGGAATGTGATATAGGAAGGCCTAGGGTTGTCTTTAAACTGGGATCTGGGAGCCATTAGGCAGCTCTGGCCATGTCTGTTCCTACTTGGAATATATAACAGCTTCTGGACATTATTAAGTGGGCTGGCTTGTGTTTTGTTGAGGAACAGGACAAATGGGGCATTTACTAGTGCTGTGTGCCTCGTTGCTTTTCTGGGTAGTGTTTGGTGATGGGCATAGTGTGGAGTGGTGGTAGAGTACACAGTGTGATTCTGTCTGGTAAGGAAGCTGTATGTTGATGTTCACTGATGTGAATAGGTTCATACAGTCCCTTAGGCATTTGGCTGGAGGATAAAGAACAGCCATTGACCAGCAGAGTACTTTTTTTGAAGTTTATGCAAGACAGCGTGCTAGGTACTACTGCCAGCTTGACAATAAAGGCAGAAAGACATTTAGAGCCATTAAAGAATTATTTATACCAGAATACAAAAACACACTTTTCAAATGTTTTGTAGGCCCTTTTCCTGCACAGCATGTGCCTCATCTACTCAAATTTAGGAAAGGTGGTTGGTGGTTTTGCAGAGAAGCAAGGAACTGTAATATCTGTCTGCATTGGTCATGCTTATCATGTAACACACTGGATTCAGTATAAAGGAAAACCGACAGGTATGGAGTGTCTGCTGTTTTATTTTTAAAAAATTGTTCATTTTTTAATTAAAAAAAGGAAATACGTGCACATGACTTTAAAAAGCTCTGTAAACAACATAGAAGGATGCCGAAAGTGAAAATCCTCCCTTTCATCTCAGTTCTCCCTTGCCTTCCCCAGAGATAGGCCAAATTTTCTTATGTATTTTTCCATATATGTTCTATGTAGATACAAACATGTTCTGTGTATGATATGCATACTATTCCAAACTTTGCTCTTTTTTTTTTTATAATTCTTGGTGACAATTCCATATCAGCCAGAGAAATCTATTCAATTTATTTTAATGTAGTTGGACAATTTCAATATATGAAATTAACAAAATGTTTTTAGCCAGCCCCCTACTTAAACCTTAGAGCTTTTATAAATAATATTGAGAAGTATATCCTTATATTCGTTATTTTACACATTCTTCAGTACATCTGTAGAATAAACTTCTATGTTTATATGTACATTTAAATATTGGGAGCCTAACTGTTGGTCTGTGTAAAGCTAGATTTTGAACATCTATTGTATGAATGACCAGTCTTTTTACAGAATTTAACTTGATTAACATGGTTTCTATCCTGCTTGCATTTGTGAAAAAGTGCAGATCAAATAGATCACATTCTATTTAAACATTTTCTCCTAAAATTAAGGCATTTTAGCCAAATTTTATTTCAGAGAAGTACAGTTTAATCATTAATTAAGCCTCTTCCACACTTTGACAGATACAGCACATCCTTTTTTTTTTTTCTTAACTTTTTTTTTTTTTTTTTTGAGACGGAATCTTCACTCTGCTGCCCAGACTAGAGTGCAGTGGTGCGATCTCAGCTCACTGCAAGTCCCGCCTCCTGGGTTCACGCCATTCTCCTGCCTCAGCCTCCCAAGTAGCTGGGACTACAGGCGCCTGCAAGCACGTCCGGCTAATTTTTTTTTTTTTTTGTATTTTTTGTATTTTTTTTTATTTTATTTTTTTTTTTGAGACGGAGTCTCGCTCTGTCGCCCAGGCTGGAGTGCAGTGGCGGGATCTCTGCTCACTGCAAGCTCCGCCTCCCGGGTTCACGCCATTCTCCTGCCTCAGCCTCCCAAGTAGCTGGGACTACAGGTGCCCGCCACTATGCCCGGCTAATTTTTTGTATTTTTAGTAGAGACAGGGTTTCACCGTTTTAGCCGGGATGGTCTCGATCTCCCGACCTCGTGATCCGCCCGCCTCGGCCTCCCAAAGTGCTGGGATTACAGGTGTGAGCCACCGCGCCCGGCCTTTTTCTTAATGTAGGTAAACTGGTGTCATGGGAGTTTGTTGAACAGATTATTTCATCCCACAGATATTAAGCCTACTATCCATTAGTTATTTTTCCTAATCTTTTCCCTCCTCCTACCCTCTACCCTCTGAAAGGCTCCAGTGTGTGCTGTTCCCCTCTACGTGTCCATGTGTTCTTATCATTTAGCTCCCACTTACAAGTGAGAACATGTGGTATTTTGTTTTCTGTACCTGTGTTAATTTGCTAAGGATAATGGCCTCCAGCTCCATCCATGTTCCTTCAAAGGACATGATCTTGTTCTTTTTTATGGCTGCATAGTATACAACGTTGTATGTATCACGTTTCCTTTATCCAGTCTACCACTGATGGGCATTTAGGTTGATTCCATGTCTTTGCTATTGTGAATAGTCCTGTAATGAACATAAGGCATGCATGTATCTTTATAATAGAATGATTTTTATTTTTTGAATGTATACCCAGTATTGGAATGGCTGGGTCAAATGGTATTTCTGTGTTCAGGTCTTTGAGGAGTCAACACACTTTCTTCCACAATGGTTGAACTAATTTACACTCCCACCAACAGTGTATAACATTCTTTTTTCTCTAGAACCTCGCCAGCATTTGTTATTTTTTGACTTTTTAATAATAGCCATTCTGGCCAGGTGCCAGGCGCTCATGCCTGTAATCCCAGCACTTTGGGAGGCCAAGGCGGGTGGATCACGAGGCCAGGAGTTTGAGACCAGCCTGGCCAACATGGTGAAACCCCATCTCTACTAAAGATACAAAAAATTAGCCGGGCGTGGTGGCACACAACTGTAATTCCAGTTACACGGGACGCTGAGGCAGGAGAATCACTTGAACCCAGGAGGTGGAGGCTACAGTGAGTCAAGATTGTGCCATCGCACTCCAGCCTGGGCAATAGGGCAAGACTCTGTCTCAAAAAAACAAAATGGAAAATAATAGCCATTCTGACTGGTGTGAGTTGGTATCTCATTGTGGTTTTTATGTGCACTTCTCTAATGATCAGTGATGTTGAGTTTTTTTTTTTCATATGATTGTTGGCTGCATGTATCTCTTTTGAAAAGGGTCTGTTTGTGTCCCTTGCCCACTTTTTAATGGGGTTGTTTTTTTCTTGTAAATTTGTTTAAGTTCCTTGTAGACTCTGGATATTAGACCTTTGTCAGATGCATAGTTTGCAAAAAATTTCTCCTATACTGTAGGTTGTCTGTTTATTGATAGTTTCTTTTGCTATGTAGAAGCTCTTTAGTTTAATTAGATCACATTTGTCAATTTTTGCTTATGTTGTAATTGCTTTTGGCATCTTCATCTTCATCATGAAATCTTTGCCTGTGCCTGTGTCCTGAATGGTATTGCCTAGGTTGTCTTCCAGGGCTTTTCTAGTTTTGGGTTTTACATTTAAGTCTTTAATCCATCTTGAGTTAATTTTTGTATATGGCGTAAGGAAGGGGTCCGGTTTCAATCTTCTGCATATGGCTAGCCAGTTATCCCAGCACCATTTATTGAATAGGGAATCCTTTCCCCATTGCTTGTTTTTGTCAGGTTTGTTGAAGATCAGATAGCTGTAGGTATGCAGTCTTATTTCTGGGTTCTCTATTCTGTTTCTTTTGTTTATGTGTCTCTTTTTGTAACAGTACCATGATGTTTTGGTTACTGTAGCCCTGTAGTATAGTTTTGAAGCAGCATTGTTGTCTGGGGTAATACCCGAGGTTCGTTGCCTCATGACAAAGAAATCAAGGACACAGATACAGGTAAAGTGAGGTTAAGAGAGGAGGTTTAAAAGGCCAAAGAAGGAGAAGAGAAGAGCTCTCTTTCCTACAGATAGAGAGATAGGTGTTTAAGTGGGTCTTTTGGCCCATAGTGGAGTTCTTGTTCTTTTTCATTAGGATTGCCTTGGCTGCTGGGGCTCTTTTTTGGTTCCATATGAATTTTAAAAGAGTTTTCTCTAGTTCTGTGAAGAATATCAATGGTGGTTTAATAGGAAAGCATTGAATCAGATTGGTTTGGGCAGTATGGCCATTATAACAATATTGATTCTTCCTATCCATGAGTACAGAATATTTTTCCATTTGTTTGTTTCATCTCTGACTTTCTTTGAGCAGTGGTTTGTAGTTCTCTTTGTAGAGGTCTTTCACCTCCCCGGTTACCTGTATTCCTAGGTATTTTATTCTTTTTGTGGCTATTGTGAATGAGAGTTTGTTCCTGATTTGGCTCTTGGTTTGACTATTGTTGGTGTGTAGGAATGCTAGTGATTTTTGCACATTGATTTTGTATTTTGAGACTTTGCTGAAGTTGTTTATCAGCTTAAGCTTTTGGGCTGAGACGATGGGGTTTTCTAGATATAGGATCATGTCATCTGCAAACAAGGATAGTTTGACTGACTCTCTTCGCATTATTTCTTTCTCTTGCCTGATTGCCATGGCCAGAACTTCCAATACTATGTTGAATAGGAGTGGTGAGACAGGGCATCTTTGCCTTGTGGCAGTTTTCAAGAAGAATGCTTCCAGCTTTTGCCCATTCAGTACAATGTTGGCTGTGGGTTTGTTGTAGATGGCTCTTATTATTCTGAGGTATGTTCCTTCAATACCTAGTTTATTGACAGTTTTTAACATGAATGGATGTTGAATTTTATCAAAACCCTTTTCTGCGTCTATTGAGATAATCATGTTGGTTTTGTTTTTAGTTCTTTTTATGTGATGAATCACATTTACTGATTTGCGTATGTTGAACCAACCTTGCATCCCAGGGATGAAGTATACTTGACCGTGATGGATAAGCTTCTTGATGTGCTGCTGGATTTGGTTTGTCAGTATTTTGTTGAGGATTTTTGTATCAATGTTTGTCAGGGATACTGGCCTGAAGTTTTCTTTTTTGTTTTATCTCTGCCAGGTTTTGGTATCAGGATGATGCTGGCCTCATAGAATGAGTTTGGGAGGAGTACCTCCCCATCAGTTTTGGGGAATAGTTTTAACAGGAATGGTACCAGCTTTTCTTTGTATCTCTGGTAGAATTCAGCTGTGAATCTGTCTGGTTTGGGGCTTTTCCTTGGTTGGTAGGGTATTTGTTACTGCTTCAATCTCAGAGTTCGTTATTGGTCTGTTCAGGGATTCAATTTCTTCCCAACTCAATCTTGGGAGGGTGTATGTGTCCAGGAATTTATCCATTTCTTCTAGATTTTCTAGTTTATGACAGCACAATCTTAATTCTGACCTATCAGTGTCCTATTAAAACTCAGGAACTGTAGGCAACCATGATGAGCATGGGAGCCATTCACTTTGCTGGATGAAGAATTTTCTGATACTTAAATATGAGGAATGTGCTGAGTATCTATTAGTGGAAGGTCTTTATTTTTTATTTGCTTATTCTTATTTATTTATTTTTAAGAGAAAAGGTTTCACTCTGTCACCCAGGCTAGAGTACAGTGATACTGTCATAGCTCACTATAGCCTCAATCTGTGGGGCTCGAGGATCCTCCTTCCTCAGCCTCCCAATTAGCTAGGACTATAGGCCCGTACTGCCATGCCCAGCTGTATTCTTTTTAAATTTCCTTTTTGTAAAGATGGGGCCTCCCTGCATTCCCCAGCTGCTCTTGAACTCCTGGGCTCAGCTGATTCTCTTGCCTCAGCCTCCCAAATTGCTGGAATTACAGGCATGAGCCACTGTACCTGGCTGCTGCTGCTTTTTTTTTCTTTAAATAGCAGTTTACAGATTTGTTTTGAAAGACAGTTTGCTAAAATATCAATTAATATCACTAATGAATAAGCACTACTCTTTTTTACTAATTATTCTTGTCAAGGGTGGTCTGAGCTGGGTGTAGTTATTGAGATTTGGAACATGTGTATTTAGGTTCCATAACATGGTCTTGAGAGGCCATGGAGTGGGAGCACCCACTGAGCACTTATCAATAATTACGTCTACACTGATATTAATAATAGCTAACATGTGTTCAGTCACTACTTGTCAAATTCCTGCAATTTTTTTGCCTGTTTTATGGATGAGGAAATTGGAGAAGTTGAGCCCACAGATAGTAAGTGGTAGAGCAAGGATTTGCTCCGAACCCACACCATGAAGTTACACATTGGCCTCCACAAGAATTCTTTGAGATCGATAATACTGTTTCCATTTTACCTTTGAGGAATTTGAGACTTAGAATTAAATGACTTCAGCTTAGGTCATTAAAGGTCACAGAGCTAACGAGAAACCATATGATGTGAAATCGAGATTCTTCAGTGTTGCTGCTATGTAGGCTTGTCCCACACATTTCAGGACATTTAGCTACCTTGGACCCACCCACTAAATGCCAGTAGGGACTCTGATGACTGGGCCGTCTAAAAATGCCCCCACATAGTTCTAATGCCTTCTCCTAGGCGTCATATTTACATTCTTAAATTCAAAGCTTGTCTTTTACCCTTATACTATATCACCTCTCATGGCAATTTTTTAATCAACACTAATCAAACTTGACTCTAGCTCATAATTTAGAATATTAGGAATAATTATAAATGCAAATCATTTTAATACAGAATCACACATAAGAGTAGCATTTCATCCAACTCCCTGTTTAGTAGATTAAAACTCACTTTCTCTAAGACCCAGAGATGACAAAGACCTTCTTAAAGTCAAAAAGCAAATTGATAGCTGACTGGACTTAAGTCATATCTCTGAACTTGAGACTAGGGCCATTTCTTCACATTACCAGTTTGCTTCAGGCAAATGTATTTGACTAAGCCGTTTTTATTTTTATTTTTTATTTTTATTTTTTGAGATGGAGTCTCATTCTCTCACCCAGGCTGGAGTGCAGTGGCACCATCTCAGCTCACTGCAACCTCCACCTCCTGGGTTCAAGCCATTCTCTTGCCTCAGCCTCCCAAGTAGGTGGGATTACAGGCACCTGCCACCACGCCCAGCTAATTTTTGTATTTTTAGTAGAGATGAGGTTTCATCATGTTGGCCAGGCTGGTCTTGAACTCCTGACCTCATGATCTACCCACCTTAGCCTCCCAAAGTGCTGGGATTACAGGCGTGAGCCACCGTGCCCAGCCACCATGTTTATTTTTTAATGAGTGATTTTGACCTTTCAAAGGGAAACGTTTGGAGGGTTGATGTAATTGAGTTGAAACAGCACACCATGGAACTGCAGAACAAGTTCGTGGCTATTTTGGAAAAGCTATTTCAAACATGGTCTTTCCCTTAAGCAGTTTTATACTGCTGACAGAACTGGATGCTTACATGAGACTTGTCACTTTCACCCTAGCAGGTGTTTGTGAATCAGGCTTCCCCCAAATTTAAGTAGGTTAAGAAGCAGGTCGAATAATATCACATATATTAATCCTGAAGGTTCCCATGGAGGGAAAGAATTTATGGTGAATGAAAAATGTTATCATTTGAAAGCATCCACATGTTTCGGATAATTTGTTGAGTGTCTCTGTCATGTGGAAGATGCAGTTGTAAGTTCTGTGGGTGAATTTGGTATATATTTTGCCTATTGCTTATGGTGCTGATGGTCTCCAAACGCTTTGTGTATTTTCAATGAAAGATAACTTAAAAGATTACTCCTTATGCCCACTTCAATAATTAAATGATTATAGTGTCCACTCTGTAGAATCAGGGCTAGAGGTTAGTATTGGCAAATACATCCTCTCTCTTTGTCTGACACTTCCAGTCTCATTTGTTTAATAGTATGCCTGTAGAATATGAAATTTTTTGGAACATATTTAATGAAGAAGTTTATTCATTATTCAGGGAAGATCACCAAATGATTATAGCTTTTTAAAAAGCATCTTTAATCTCATAGAGTTGCTTGGGCCTGAAATTTGGATCATAATCAGTGAGCCACGGAGCTTGAGGAAACTATGACCAATGCAGAAAGGTCTCCTGATGAATGATAGGAGAGCATTGGCAGGTGTTGGAAAAACCTCAATTATCCTGGTACAAATTGAGAGGTGTTGAGGGATTTGCATTTCTTACTGACTATGGGAAAAAGAAGTTAATTGAAGCTGTTGACAAAGATTTTCCATTAGTGATTCAGAAATCATAGAGGTTGTTTTGAAATTACCCAAGCATAGTAATGGGAAAATAATTTTTCTTTCTTTTTCCTCTTTATTCTTATATGGAGAATGAGAATGTTACTTGGGAAAAGTCTGGAATATTGACTCATTTTGTAGACACCTATACTGATGTTATGTTTCTTTGACTTTTATGAAAGAGAGACCACTGATTAAAAAGCCCGATATTAATTTCTTCAAAAGAATAAAACAGATTTAGGGTATATGCTGGTGTTGTTTATTCTGATTTATATGCATATCGTCTGTACCCATAGCTATGGCATATTACTGTAATCAGTGTTCTAATGATGACCTTGTCTCAAGAAGACTATGTGAAATTGGGTTCTGGAGGCTCTTGTTTTAAGAATCAGGAAATAGGCCGAGTGCAGTGGCTCACAACTGTAATCCCAGCCAGTTTGGGTGGCTGAGGTGGATGGATCATTTGAAGTCAGGAATTCGAGACCAGCCTGGCCAACAAGATGAAAACCCGTCTCTACCAAAAATACAAAAATTAGCTGGGCATGGTGGCGGGCGCTTATAATCCCAGCTACCTGGAAGGCTGAGGCAGGAGTGTCGCTAGAACCCAGGAGGCAGAGGTTGCAGTGAGCCAAGATCGCACCACTGTTTTCCAGCCTGGGCAATAGAGTGAGACTCAGTCTCAATAAATAAATAAATAAATAAATAAATAAATAAATAAATAAATAAAATAAAAACAAAATAAAAATCAGGAAATATCCTCAAAAACATGTTTAAGGAGATGAGAAAATTTTCAGAAAACACTGTAGTGAAAATACTTGTAAAATAGTATGGGTATTAGGCCTTCAATTGGATAAAACCCAATTATGTTTTCTAAAATTTGGCAGTGAAACCTGAGTAACTCTTCTATTATAAGGAAAAAACACCTCAGCTCTCCACAAAGCACTGAATTAGCCATCTCTCAAAAAATGGAAGTGAGGACAGGTACATAAATGTGGAAGAATATTTAATAGTTTAATGACCTAGAAGTACATTCATGTGTTCTGAAATGAAAAAGATTATGAGGTAGTATATATAGTTGTAAACTTATAAAATGAATGAATTTATAAGATAAGAAACATACAAAAGATATAAGGCATAAAAAACGTGTACAAAATATGCAAAAGTATTTAAAATAATATATAAAAATTATACAGAAAGTAAGCATTTATTTATTTAGTTTTTATTTTAAGTTCCATGGTACACGTGCAGGATGTGCATGTTTGTTACATAGGCAAACATGTGCCATGGTGGTTTGCTGCTCCAGCAACCCATCACCTAGGTATTAAGCCCAGCATGCATTAGCTATTTTCCATCTGCTCTCTCTCCCTCCACCCCCTTCCCCTGACAGACCCTGTGTGTGCTGTTCCCCTCCCTGTGTCCATGTGTTCTCATTGTTCAGCTCCCACTTATCAATGAGAGCATGCAGTGTTTGGTTTTCTGTTCCTGCATTAGTTTGCTGAGGATAATGGCTTCCAGCTCCAACCATGTCCCTCTCCCTCCTTCCACCCTCTACCCTTTGATAGGCCCTGGTGTCTGTTGTTCCCCACTATGCATCCACATGTTCTCATCATTTAGCTCCCAATTATAAGTGAGAACATGCGGTATTTGGGTTTCTGTTTCTACATTAGATGGCTAAGGATAATGGCCTCCAACTCCATCCATGTCCCTGCAAAGGACATGATCTCATTCCTTTCTATGACTGCATAGTATTACATAGTATATGTGTACCACATTTTCTTTATCCAGTCATCATTGATGGGCATTTAGGTTGATTCTGTGTCTTTACTATTGTGAATAGTGCTGCAATGAACATATGCATGCATGTATCTTTATAATAGAATGATTTATATTCCTTTGGGTATATATCCAGTAATGGGATTGTTGGTCAAATGGTATTTCTGGTTCTAGATCTTTGAGGAATCACCACATTGTCTTCCACAATGGTTGAATGAATTTACATTCCCATCAACAGTGTAAAAGCACTTCTATCTCTCTGTAGTCTGACCAGCATCTGTTGTTTCTTGACTTTTTGATAATTGCCATTCTGACTGGTGTGAGATGGCATCTAGTGGTTTTGATTTGCATCTCTCTAATGATCAGTGATGTTGAGCTTTTTTTCATGTTTGTTGGCTGCATAAATATCTTCTTTTGAGAAGTGTTTATTCATGTCCTTTGCCTACTTTTTAATGGGGTCATTTGTTTTTTCTTGTGAATTTGTTTAAGTTCCTTGTGGACTCTGGTTATTAGATCTTTGTCAGATGGATAGATTGCACAAATTCTCTCCCGTTCCGTAGGTTGTCTGTTTGCTCTGATGATACTTTCTTTTGCTGTGCAGGAGCTCTTTAGTTGAATTAGATTCCATTAGTCAATTTTTGCTTTTATTGCAATTGGTTTTGATGTTTTCATTATGAAATCTTTGCTTGAACCTATGTCCTGAATGGTGTTGCCTTCTTCTAGGGTTTTTATAGTTTTGGGTTTTACATTTATGTCTTTAATCCATCTTGAGTTAGTTTTTGTATTAAGTGTAAGGAAAGGATCTAGTTTCAATTTTCTATATATGGCTATCTCAGTTATCCCAGCATCATTTATTAAATAGGGAATCCTTTCCCCATTGCTTGTTTTTGTCAGGTTTGTCAAAAATGAGGTGGTTGTAGAGGTTTGCTCTTATTTCTAAGTACTCTATTCTGTTCCATTGGTCTATGTGCCTGTTTTTGAGTTTGAAGTTGGGCAGTGTGATGCCTCTAGCTTTGTTCTTTTGCTTGTTTTTTGTTTTTGAGACAGAGTCTTGCTCTGTTGCCCAGGCTGGAATGCAGTAGTGGGATCTTGGCTCATTGCAACCTTTGCCTCCTGGGCTCAAGTGATTCTCATGCCTCAGCCTACCAAGTAGTTGGGACTACAGGTGTGCACCACCCCACCTGGCTAATTTTTGTATTTTTAGTAGAGACAGGGTTTCACCACATTGGCCAGGCTGCTCTCGAACTCCTGGCCTCAAGCGATCCACCTGCCTTGGCCTCCCAAAGTGCTGGGATTATGGGTGTGAGCCACCGCACCCGGAAATGCTTTGTTCTTTTTGCTTAGGGTTGTCTTGGCTATATGGGCTCTTTTTTTGTTCTATATGAATTTTAAAATAGTTTTTCCTAATTCTGTGAAGAATGTCAATGGTAGTTTAATAGGAATAGCATCGAATCTGTAAATTACTTTGGGCAGTATGGCCATTTTAATGATATTAGTTCTTCCTATCCATGAGCATGGAATGATTTTCCATTTGTTTGTGTCCTCTCTGATTTCCTTGAGCAGTGGTTTGTAGTTCTCCTTGAAGAGGTCTTTCACTTCCCTTGTTAGCTGTATTCCTAGGTATTTTATTCTCTTTGTAGCAATTGTGAATAAGAGCTCATTCATGATTTGGCTCTCTGCTTGTCTGCTGTTGGTGTATAGGAATGCTAGCGACTTTTAGACATTGATTTTGTATCCTGAGATTTTGCTGAAGTTGCTTATCAGCTTAAGAAGCTTTTGGGCTGAGACGATGGGGTTTTCTTGATATAGGATCATGTCATCTGCAAACAAAGACAATTTGACTTCCTCTTTTTAAAATTTGAATACCCTTTATTTCTTTCTCTTGCCCTATTGCCCTGCCAGAACTTCCAATACTATGTTGAATACGAGTGGTGAGAGAGGGCATCCTTGTCTTGTGCTGGTTTTCAAGGAGAATGCTTCCAGCTTTTGCCCATTCAGTATAATGTTGGCTGTGGGTTTGTCATAGACAGCTTTTATTATTTTGAGGTATGTTCTTTTAATACCTAGTTTATTGAGAGTTTTTAACATGAAGGGATGTTGAATTTTGTTGAAGGCTTGTTCTGTGTCTATTGATATAATCATGTGGTTTTTGTCTTTAGTTTAGTTTATGTGATGAATTATCTTTATTGATTTGTATATGTTGAACCAGCCTTGCATTCCAGGGATGAAGCCAGCTCGATCATGGTGGGTAAGCTTTTGATGTGCTTCTGGATTCAGTTTGCCAGTATTTTGTTGGGGACTTTTGCATAGATGTTCATCAAGGATATTGGCCTGAAGGTTTCTTTTTTTGTATTTTCTCTGCCAGGTTTTGGTATCAAGATGATGCTGGCCTCATAAAATGAGTTAGGGAGGAGTTTCTCCTCTTTGATTGTTTGGAATAGTTTCAGAAGAAATACTACCAGCTCCTCTTTGTACCTCTGGTAGGATTCAGCTGTGAATCCGTCTGGTCCTGGGTTTGTTTGATTGCTAGGCTATTAATTATTGCCTCAATTTCAGAACTTGTTATTGGTCTATTAAGGGAGTCAATTTCTTTCTGGTTTAGTCTTGGGAGGGTGTATATGTCCAGGAATTTATCCATTTCTTCTAGATTTTCTAAATTTTTTTTGCATAGAGGTGTTTATGGTATTCTCTGATGGTTGTTTGTATTTCTTTGGGGTCAGTGGTGATATTCCCTTTATCATTTTTTATTTTGTCTAGTTGATTCTTCTCTTTTTCTTCTTTATTAGTCTAGCTAGTGGTGTATCTATTTTATTAATATTTTCAAAAAAAGCCAGCTCCTGTATTTGTTGATTTTTTGAAGGGTTTTTTTGCATCTCTATCTCCTTCAGTTCTGCTCTGATCTTGGTTATTTTTGTCTCCTGCTAGCTTTGGGGTTTGTTTGCTCTTTCTTCTCTAGTTCTTTTACTTATGATGTTAGCATGTCAATTTGGGATCTTTCTAGATTTTTGATGTGGTCATTTAATGCTATAAATTTCCCTCTTAACACTGCTTTAGCTGTGTCCCAGAGGTTCTGGTATGTTGTCTCTTTGTTCTCACTAGTTTCAAAGAACTTCTTGGTTTCTTCCTTGATTTCATTATTTACTCAGGAGTCATTCAGGAGCAGGTTGATCAATTTCCATATAGTTGTGTGGTTTTGAGTGAGTTTCTTAATCTTGAGTTCTAATTTGATTTTGCTGTGGTCTGAGAGACTGTTTGTTATGATTTCAGCTCTTTTTCATTTGCTGAGGAGTGTTTTACTTCTAATTATGTAATCAATTTTAGAGTAAGTTGCCATGTGGCACCGAGAAGAATGTATATTCTTTTGTTTTGGGGAGGAGAGTTCTATAGATATCTATCAGGTCCACTTGATTCAGAGCTGAGTTCAAGTCCTGAATATCTTTGTTAATTTTCTCTCTCAGTGATCTGTCTAATATTGACAGTGGAGTGTTAAAGTCACCCACTGTTATCATGAGGGAGTCTAAGTCTCTTTATAGGTCTTTAAGAACTTGTTTTATGAATCTGGCCAGGCACGCTGGCTCATGCTTGTAATCCCAGCACCTTGTGGGGCTGAGGTGGGTGGATCACTTGAGGTCAGGAGTTCAAGACCAGCCTGGACAACATGGTGAAACCCTGCCTCTACTAAAAATACAAAAATTAGCCAAGTATGGTGGTGCATGCCTCTAATCCCAGCCACTCAGGAGGCTGAGGCAGGAGAATCGCTTGAACCCAGGAGGCAGAGGTTGTAGTGAGCCGAGATCATGCCACTGCACTCCAGCCTGGGCGATAGAGCGAGACTGTGTCTCAAAAAACACAAAAAACAAAAAACCCCTCAAAACTTGTTTTTTTATGAATTCGGGTGCTCCTGTATTGGGTGCATATATATGTTTAGGATAATTAGCTCTTCTTGTGGAATTGAACCCTTTACCATTATGTAATGCCTTTCTTGTCTTGGTTGATCTTTGTTGGTTTGAAGCCTGTTTGTCAGAAACTAGGATTGCAACCCCTGCCTTTTTCTGCCTTCCATTTGCTTGGTAAATTTTCCTTCATCCCTTTATTTTGAGCCTATGTGTATCTTTGCACGTGAGATGTGTCTCTTGAATACAGTGCACAGATGGGTCATGACTCTTTATCCAGCTTGCCATTCTGTGTCTTTTAATTGGGGCATTTAGTCCATTTACATTTAAGGATAGTAGTGTTATGTGTGAATTTGATCCTGTCAAATGATCCTAGCCTCATGATGCTAGCTGGTTATTTTGCAGACTTGTTAATGTAGTTGCTTCATAGTGTCATTGGTTTGTGTACTTCAGTGTGATTTTGTAGTGACTGGTAATGCTTTTTCCTTTCTGTATTTCATGCTTCCTTCAGGAATTCTCGCAAGGCAGGCCTGGTGATGACAAATTCCCTCAGTGTTTCGAAAAGGATTTTATTTTCCTTTGCTTATGCCTGAAAAGGATTTTATTTTCCTTTGCTTATGAAGCTTAGTTTGGCCGTATATGAAATTCTGGGTTGGAAATTCTTTTCTTTAAGAATGTTGAATAATGGCCCCCAATCTCTTCTGGCTTGTAGGGTTTCCACTGAGAGTTCTGCTGTTAGTCTGATTGGCTTCCCTTTGTAGGTTACCTGGCCTTTCTCTCTGGCTTCCCTTAACATTTTTTCCTTCACTTTGACCTTGGAGAATCTGATGATTATGTGTCTTGGGGTTGATCTTCTCCTGGAACATCTTAGTAGTGTTCTCTGTATTTCCTGAGTTTGAATGTTGGCCTGTCTTGCTAGGTTGGGGGAGTTCTCCTGAATGATATCCTGAAGTATGTTTCCAACTTGGTTCCATTCTTTCCATCTCTTTTAGGTACCCCAATCAGTTATAGGTTTGGTCTTTTTACATAATCTTATAGTTCTCTAAGGTTTTGTTCATTCCTTTTTATTCTTCTCTAATCTTGTCTGCCTGTCTTATTTCAGCAAAATAGTCTTCAAGCTCTGACATTGTTTCTTCTGCTGGTCTATTCGGCTCTTGATACTTGTAGTTGTGCTATGAAGTTCTCATGTTGTGTTTTTCAGCTCCATCAGGTCATATATGTTCCTCTCTAAACTGATTATTCTGGTTAACAGCTCCTGTAATGTTTTATCATTGTTCTTAGCCTTTTTGCATTGGGTTAGAACATACTCTTTTAGCTCAGTGAAGTTTGTTATTACTCCCCTTCTGAAGCCTACTTCTGTTACTTCATCCATCTCAGCCTCAGCCCAGTTCTGTGCCCTTGCTGGAGAGTTGTTGTGATCATTTGGAAGAGAAGAGACACTCTGACTTTTTCAGTTTTCAGAGTTTTTGAGTTGATTCTTTCTCTATCTACCTTCAATCTTTGAGGCTGCTGACCTTTGGATAGGGTTTTGTGGGGTCTTTTTTGTTGATGTTGTTGTTGTTGCTTTCTGTTGGTTTGTTTTTAACAGTCAGGCCCTTCTTCTGTAGGCCTGCTATGGTTTGCTAGGGGTCCACTCCAGAATATTTGCCTCAGTCCCTCCCACACCTGGATGTGTTACTAGTGGAAGCTGCAGAATAGCAAAGATGGGTGCCTGGTTTTTCCTCTGGGAGCTCTGTCGCAGAAGGGCACTGACCTGATGCCAGCTGGAACACTCCTGTATAAGGTGTGTGATGACCCCTGTTGAGGCGTCTCACCCCATCAGGAGGCACAAGATGAGGGATCCTCTTAATGAAGCACTCTGGCTGCCTCTTGGCGAAGTGGGTGTGCTGGGCTGTGAGGAATCCCCTTGGTCCAGACTGCTCGGACTCCATCCAGACTGCCAACAATCTTTAGAGCCAGCAGGCAGGAAAGATTGAGTCTGCTGAGCTGCAGAGACTGTGGCCACCCCTCCCCATGGGGGCTCCTTCCCAGGGAGATCAGAGTTTTGTTTGTAAATCCCTGGCTGGGGTTGCTGAAATTCCCACAGGGATGCCCTGCCCAGTAAGAAGGGATGGATCTGGGTCTCACCTAAAGAAGCAGTCTGGCCATGATCTGCCACAGCCACTGTGCGGTGCTGTGGGGAATTCCTCTTGGTCCAAACTGCCCAGTCTCTTTAGCACTGGCAGGGGAAAACAGCTGACTAGGGCCTCAGTGATGGTGGCTGCCCCCGCCCCCCGACAGGAACTCAGTCATCTTAGGTAGCCTTCAGCCTGCTGCCACTGGCCACAAACCAAGAGGCCACTGAAAGTCTGCACAGCTCTGTGTTTGGGACTCAAGGCCTTGGTGATATGGGCTCACGAGGGTATCTCCAGATCCACGGTTGCACAGATCTATGGAAAGAGCATGGTTTCCTGGGCAGGGTAGCACAATCACTTAATGCCTCCCCTGGCTGGGGTTGGGAGTTCCCCTTGCCCTGTGCAGCTCCTGGGTGTGCCATGGCTCCACCCTGCTTTTCCTCACTCTCCATGGTACACCAACTACCTAGTCAGTCCCAGTGAGAGAATCTGGATACCTCAGTTGAAGGTGCAGGATTCATTCGCCGTTTTCATTCTGCTTGGTGGGAGCTGCTGTCCACAGCTGCTTCTAAGCAACCAAGTAAGCATTTATTTAGCACTAACTGCCAGGATATTCTTGGTGCTTAAGATATACATCAGTGACTGCTTAATACTCTCGTTTTCTTTAAGACCTAGCTCAATGTCATGTGGACCATGTGGACCAAAACCAGAAAGCTTTTGCTGAACTACCAGTGTGGGTGTGGGTGAGGTACTCTCCTGTGAGGTATCCTCTCATGTAGTACTCACTGCATGAGTTATGTTCCTGTATACTATAGACGTTCATCCTTCTTTCTTTGTTTTAGGTTGAAAATGTCATAAATAAGTCTGTTTGATGAGAAAGAAGAACTAATAGAATGTAAAAGGCTGGAGGGATATAAAAGAAAGATAATTAATGAAATGAGTTTTACAAAAATATTCCTAATTAGAGCCCTTTAAATGGCATACTCCTCATGGGCCCATAAATTATTATATGATTTTAGAAAAGAAATAGATTCCTTCTAAGATGTACTTCAGTTGTAGAAATCAAGAAATACTTGTGGTGTTGCTCTTTTATCTATGAGAAATATCCATACATCCATTAAAGGATGTATCCATATAATGATGTATATATAAAAAATATATATACATCAGTGAATCAAAGATTTTCCCTTGGTGGTGTGCTAAAAGAGACCAGTAAGAAATGTTTCAAAATGTAAGTGCTTTTGACCAAGGGCAAATTACAAATTATTTGTAATTTTTGTTGCCTGTGTGTGTCTTTATTTTCTAAATATTTGTCAATGAAATCTATTACTTTTGCAAACATGGGAAAAGTAAGAAAAAAATATAATGCGGTTCAGAAAGATTTTCACTTACTAAAGGAGAATATAAAAAATTTAGCTCAGAAAGTCACTTTTCTGTTAACTCGACAGTTAATCTCCAATATATTGTTCAATATCCAAGAGTTTTGCTAGATTTCTGTTTTGCCTTGGGACTCCTAAGGGACACAATGCTTGGTAGCCCATAGTTGTTACTACTTTAATCATGCAAATCTAGGACATTAGGGCAGTGAGTTAGTGCATGAATGATTCTTGGGCACCTTAGATCATACTTGCTAGTAAGGTCCTCTTTGTCTCTGCATATTGCTGGCCTGGATGGACACTTATCTTTTGGCTGAAGAATACATCCAATGGAGAGAACCCAAGAGCCAAGCTAAGTGAATCAGTTTCACTAGGACATTAATTTCTAAGATGTAGTCCTTGGAGTTCTGGAGAGCAAAAGATGGTGCATTACTGGAAATTCACTATACTCATTAACATATTTAAGGCTGGAGAAATTCTGGAGCAAAGAACCAAAGGTAACTGCAGACAAAGAAGGGTTTTTAATGGAATGTGACTGGCATCTAGGAACTGGTTGGGGGGTGGATGGCCCCTGAAAAGAAAGGTTGGAAACTGAATGGGAGAAAGAGGGGACTGATCTTACTGATCAAGGTGGTTCCTGTACCTTGTATGGGAGTAACATGAAATCTTTAATTCCCCAAATCTAAGTACACTATGTGGTTACAACAGGGGCAATTTTACATTTGTGTGAAGCTTGAAATGGTTTCCTAATTGAATCGATTGTTGTAGCTTTGAAAAATTGTGTTTAAATGACATTTTTGTAAAATACAAAAATAAATTCCTATTTTTAATCTCAGTAGGAGACTTTTACTTGCAAGAATCTTTATGATTTCTGCTGTGTAAATCCTTTGTGTAAATGTATTTTTATGCATCAGGTTACTTATATTAAAAAACTCCTCTGTTGATTTTCAGTTGATAGGTTTTCTTATAACATTTACAAAAATGGATGGTACAATTAACCTCCTACTCACTGACCCTGTAAAGAGAAATCATTTGGCTCTATTTTTTTTGTTAATGTCTACAATATGTCCTTTAAAGAAGTCTTATCAAGGGATAGATAGGTAGAGAATCCTAAGCCCCTATTCTGGGGAGTTGAAAGGTTTTAAGGATTTAGAAATTTTTGCTTACAAATACATGTGTTACTTTGCTAATTTAGAGGTATAGCTATTTAGTTCAGAAAACTAAGGATAAGGCCATTATATTGGGGACAAAAATATTTTATTTCTTAGTAGATGGGATCCCTTTACTTTCTTGGTTATGTGTTCCAGCTGTCTTCATTGTGTGGATCTGACTGTGTTTTTAGCTATGTTTTTACACACATGTACCATCTTCTACATGCATTTACTTGGATTTTATTTATATTATATCTGTTAAGAAGCAGATTCATGACATACATCTATGCAGTTGGAATTCAAGGCTGTCCATCAGTTGTTACCCACTGATGTACGTAACAGACTGGGAATGTAACTTGCTTTACAAGTGAAATTGTTATGTCATTGCCATTTGTTCATTACCATCTGTATCACTCTGTCTGATTTGCATGATCTATGTATTAGCCTGCCCTCACACTGCTGTAAAGAACTACTGGAGACTAATTTATAAAGAAAAGAGGTTTAATCAGCTCACAGTTTTGTTGGATGTACAGGCTTCTGCTTCTGGGGAGGCCTTAGGAAACTTACAATCGTGGCAGAAGGAAAGGGATCAGGCACATCTTCACATGGCTGGGAAGGGAAAGAGAGAGTGGGAGGAGGTACTACACATGTTTTAGCAAGCAGATCTTGTGAGAACTCTATCATGAGACAGCACTAGGGAGATGGTGCTAAACCATTAGAAACCACACCCATGATCCAACCACTTCCCACCAGGCCCCACCTCCAACACTGGGAATTAAAATTCAGCATGAGATTTGGGTGGGGACACATAGCCAAAGCATATCATTCTGCCCCTGGCTCCTCCCGAATCTCATGTCCTTCTCACATTTCAAAACACGATCATGCCCTCCCAACCATCCCCCAAAGTCCTAACTAATTCCAGCATTAACCAAAAGTCCAGGTCCAAAGTCTCATCTGAGACAAGGCAAGTCCCTTTCACCTATGAGCCTGTAAAATAAAAAACAAGTTAGTTAATTCCAACATACAATGGGAGTACAGGCATTGGGTATATGCCCCCATTCCAAAAGGAAGAAATTGGCCAAAACAGAGGGCCTATAGGCCCCATGCAAGTCTGAAACCCAGCAGGGTAGTCATTAAATCTTAAAGCTGCAAAATAATCTCCTTTGCCTCTGTATCTCACATCCAGGCCACACTGATGCCAGGCATGGACTTCCAAGCTTTGGGCAGCTCCACTCTTGTGGCTCTGCAGGGCTCAGCCCTCATGGCTGCTTTCATAGACTGGCATAGAGTGCCTGCAACTTTTCCAGGTGCATGATGCAAGCTGTTGGTGGATCTACTATTCTGGGGTCTGGAGGAAGGCAGCCCTCCTCTTGCAGCTCCACTAGGCAGTACCCCAGTAGGGACTCTGTGTGGGGGCTCCAACCCTACATTTCCCCTCTGCACTACCCTAGTAGAGGTTCTCCATGAGGGCTTTGCCCCTGCAGCAGACTTCTGTCTGGACATCCAGATGTTTCCATATAATGTCTGAAATCTAGGTGGAAGCCCTCAAGCCTCAACT
Source organism: Homo sapiens (assembly GCF_000001405.40). Taxonomy (NCBI): domain Eukaryota; kingdom Metazoa; phylum Chordata; class Mammalia; order Primates; family Hominidae; genus Homo; species Homo sapiens. The sequence continues at coordinate 50,476,847 of NC_000010.11, read as the reverse complement.
TTTGACCTTTGTGCACCTGCAGGTTTAACACCACATGGAAGCCTTGTTGGCTTCTGGCTTGCACCCTCTGGAGCAGTGGCCTGAGACTTATCTGGACCTTTTTAGTCATGGCTAGAGCTGGAGTGGCTGGGATGCAAGGAGCCATGACCTGATGCTGCCCAGCGCAGTGGTGTCCTAGGCCTGGCCCACAAAAGTATTTTTCCCTCCTAGACCTCCTGGCCTGTGATGGGAGAGACTGCCACAAAGGTCTCTGAAGTGCATTGGAGGCATTTTCCCTGTTGTGTTGGCTATTAACGTTCAGCTCCTCTTTACTTACACAAATTTCTGCAGCTGGCTTGAATTTCTCCTCAGAAAATGGGTTTTTCTTTTCTACCATGTCTTTCCTGTCTTCTTATGAGCCCTGCAAACTGTTCTAACCTCTGCCTGTTACCCAGTTTCAAAGTTGCTTCCACATTTTTGGGTATCTTTATAGCAGTGCCCTGCTTCTCTTATAACAGTTCCCTTCCCTTCCCTCCCCTCCCCTCCTCTCTCCCTCCCCCTCCCCTCCCCTCCCTTCCCTTCCCTTTTTTATTTTGAGACAGAGTCTTGCTCTGTTGCCCAGACTGGAGTGCAGTGGCACGATCTTGGCTCACTGCGACCTATGCCTCCTGAGTTCAAATGACTCTCCTGCCTCACCCTCCTAAGTAGCTCAGATTATAGGCACACGCCACCATGCCTGGCTAATTTTTTTTTTTTTTTTTTTTTTTTTTTGTATTTTTAGTAAAGACAAGATTTTACAGTGTTGGCCAGGCTGGTCTCGGACTCCTGACCTCAGGTGATCCGACTGCCTCGGCTACCCAAAATGCTGGGATTACAAGGTGTGAGCCACTGCACCCATCCCCTACTTTCTGTATTAGTCTGTTCTTGTACTGCTATAAAGAACTACCTGAGACTGAGTAATTTATACAGAAATGAGGTTCAATTGGCTCAAAGTTATGCAGGCTGTACAGGCTTCTGCTTCTGGGGAGGCCTAAGGAAATTTAACAATCATGGTGGAAGGTGAAGGGGTAGCAGGCACATCTTTACATGGTTGACAGGAGAATGGTTGGGGAGATGCTACACACTTTTTAACAAGCAGATCTGGTAAGAACTCTGTCATGAGATTGCACTAGGGGGACGTTGCTAAACTATTAGAAACTACTCCCATGATCCAGTCACCTACCACCAGGCCCCACGTCCAAAATTGTACAATTCAACATGAGATTTGGGTAGGGACACAGAGCCAAACTATATCAACCTGGCTTCCAAATAACATGGACCAGTTATTCATAGCCTGATGAGTTATATATTTACCATTTATTGTGAACAACAAATACCTTTCTAGATGTTGTAATGGACTAATTTTTAAAATGGACTGTTACTGCTAAAGAGTAATTTTTGAAAAGTTAAAAGCATATTGCATGCAGACATAAAATGAACGTATATCAAAGGTTCATTCAGTTCAGTTAATGAGGGAATTAACTGAGATGAATTAAAGGCAAATTTGAGAAACTGAAACCACCCCCAGGAATGCTGAAATAAATGTATCAATATGTAACAAAATTGGTTAATATCCATAGAGCAATAAAATGTAATGTTTGGGGTTATCTTTTCTTCCAGGTAGATATCAATCATATCTCTACCGGACAACATTTATTTACATTGCTATGGACAAGAATTATTTGTAATTACTGACAGTGAAATGGAAAGTTAGTCAAAAGTGCATAGCCTTATTGACTTGGATATTCTGGAAACATACCCAGGAATCTCTTTTTCCCATTTCTCAGTCTTGGACAGTTTTTCTGATATTTAAAAAAATGCTTTTGGAGCAGTTTTATTCATTGAATACTCACAGTTTCAGACTCTGAGATAAATGCTCTTTTAATTTATGTTAAAGCCTGAATAATAAGAATATTTATATATCCAATATCTTATTTTGTTATCATGCCCCCTGCTCCCCAAAGTGCAGTATTGAAAATGTATGGTTAAGGTTGTAGCATCATTTCTGATCTAAGTATTTCCTCTAATGACTAAATGGATAGCACTCTCTCTGCTTCTTAGTTTTTGTTTTGTTTTGTTTTGTTTTGTTCTGTTTTGTTTTTAAGGGAGAGGCAGGGCATTGAGTATAAGTAAATATTTTAAATGAAAAATAGAACAATCAACAGTATGAAAAATTCTAATATTCTGTGTACCTATGCCTAAAATGAGATAGCCTATGAACTGACTCATCTTAAGAATTTTTATAGAAAAATTTGTTAGTTCTAATTATGAATTTAATAGAATGAGAATTCATCATGTGACAGCCAAGGTAATGAAGAATGTTTTCCACCACTGTCCAAACACTGCCCACAGAGAGGCTTCCTTTGTCTCAGGGTGCCTGTACTGAGATTATAAACCATGCAAGAGAACTTAGAGAGAGGGTCTAATAAACAGACCTCACCTTATAGGTGAAGAACCAGAATTCCAGAGGAGACAAGTTGAAAATAATAAAACTCCTTTAAAAACAAAACAAACAAAAAACCTGACTTCAGATTTCTTACTAAGTGATGTAAGCTGTTTCCTCTAATTATCTAAAAGAAGGTGGTTTTATCCTTACTAAATATGTCAGTGGTAGGTCTTGATATAAGATTTTAACTTAGGTTGCTATCATAAGCTCTGTCTTTTGGTTGCAAAAACCAGGTCACTCTCACTCAACAAAAGGGTTCAAGATATAGATCTCCTGAGACCTCAGGTTGGGAACTGGCTTCAGTCCAGTACTTGCTTTCTGTGGCAGACTTGGCCCATGATGATTGTCCTGAGCTTAAGTGTTCCTCTTGACCTTTCACCATGACATCTAACTGGCAAGTTCCTTTAGGGTTTCTTGATTCTAGTTCCTGCAGCAGCAAAACTGATTGGCTGAGTTCATCATTTTAGCAAGTAATCAAACCCAAGCCCTAGGCTTCTGGCCAGCTTCTGAATGGCTCTCTTTGGGTCAAGTGTTCTTTCGGGTCCAATCAGCTATGGCTGTGTGCTTGTGGAGTTGTGTCAGGTGATATAAGATGGCAATCGAAAGACAACTGGGCCTGAGAATATGGCAGAGTCCCCCAGAAATGGGAGTGGGTGAACAGATTCCCTGAAATATGTCTACTACAAATCTGGTTTGAATATATTAGTTTATTCTTGGTTAAAAACATTTCCTGTTATCTGCATTGTAATTTGGTTTTATATTTTAGTCTGTTTCTATATTGGAGTAAACTCGAAGTTTTTTATTAGTCCATTTTATTCTTATTTGCTTGCTAAATTTTGCTTCTTTTAGAAACACAGAGACAGGTTTTGAGACTTGGAAAGTTTATTATGATAGCTTGGTTTTGACAATTCATGTTGACTTTTCTTTTGAAGCCATAATGTTCCTTCAAAGTATTTTAAAAGGAAATTAAGAAAGTCTCATTGTTCTATGAATTCCTTTAATTTTCAATAGATATTTATTCTCCATATCTAAAAAGAATCCAGGTTCAAAAGGCAAGGCATTTAGTTTTAAAAATATTTATTAAATTGCTGGATTATATACTGTATATTTGAGATATGACATAACCCATGCTTGTGGGACTTTCTGACTATTAGGGAGAGAGTATTACTGTTCCAGACAGAGGCTGCTTGGACTACAGTAGATTAAACACAGTGTAGAGAACTATTTTTTTTTAAGCATTAACAGTTTTAGTTAGTTAAACTAAACATGTTAGTACTACTTTAGTTAAACATGTTGGTAGTGGAATAAGACTGTGTGAAGACAGTTTTAATGGAAATTGTATTATGTTCTAATATAGTGTGGTGGTAATTACCTAATTCCTAATTCAGATTTTACTAGATCATATTTCCATTGTTCTTTCTAAGCCAGGTGATGGGAATGGATTAACAGTGTGGGGAGCAGGATAGAGGAAGGGCATTACAGGGAACTGCAGGAGCAAATACCTAGCAATGAATAACTCTTCTGAGGATGGGTAGTAGTCTAGTCTTGAAAATAATGACTAGTGTGGAGAAAAGGGAACCCCTGTGCACTTTTGGTGGGAATGAAAATTAATACAATCATCATGGAAACCAGTATGGAGATTTGTCAGAAAACCGAAAATAGAATTAGCATACAGTTCAGTAATCTCACTTCTAAAAATGTATCCAAAGAAATTTGATCTGAATGTAGAAGAGATATGTGCACTCCCATGTTTATTGTGTCCTTATTCACAATAGCTCAGATATGGAAACAACCTAGGAGTCCATTATCAGATGAATGGATAAAGAAAATATGGCATATACACACTATGCAATACTATTCACCCTTTAAAAAGTAGGGGCAGGATAGAGATAATTCTGTCATTTGCAACAACATGGATGAACCTGGAGGACATTATGTTACTGCATGATCTCACATATATGTAGATTCTTGAAAAGTCAAACTCATAGAAGTAGAGGGTAGAATGGTGGTTACCAGAGGCTGGGATGTTTAAAGGGGAGAAGGGGATGGAGAGATAAATTGGAGGAATAAGTTCAAGAAATCTACTGTAAGGAATGATGACTGTAATATTAATAAATAATGCATCATAGATTTCAAAATTGCTATAAGAATAGGTTTTACATGTTTTCACTATAAAAAATAAGTATGTGAGGTGATAGATGTGTTAGCCTGATTTAATCTTTCCACATTGTAAACATATATCAAAATACATCACATTATACTCCATAAATATATACAATTATCTGTCAAATAAAAAGAAAATTAAAAAAGAAAATAATGAATAAATATAGAAAGTAAAGGTGGTCTTGACAATAACTGAGAAGAATGATTTGATTTAATTGGTAACACAAATATAATATGATTTTACTGGGTGCGAACCAATGTCTGTCTTATGTACTGAGAACTCATTAAGCACAGAGATAATGTGGCTCTTGCCCGCGAAGAAGCTAGGATTAAATAATGTAGAAGATTATTTTGGTATATCTGTGGGTAAGGATTTAAAAACAAACAAAACTGCTCTCATTTTGTTTGGTTTTAGTAATGCTCTACTGGAGGCAGGGCATTACTGATGTGGCCCTTGATAACAAGTCCTGTGATGTTAGGAAATTATTTCTTCAATTTGTGAATTTCTCAGTGAGAGTTCTAGGAACCTCAGATACTGCTGGGCAACCTGCAAAGGCTAAAACAGGGATTGAGATTTGTATTTGGGGAGGGAGGCATAATTTGAAGATTTAATTTGAATAAAGTCTTTGTGTTTAAAAGATCCTTTTTTATATCTCATACACACTAATTCCACCAGTAAACCAGGAAAAGTGTTTGCGTCTCATAGACTTGTTTCAAAGATTCAAATGAGTTACCTAAAAATTTAGAATTGTGTCTGGCCCCTACCATGGAAGTGGTTGTGTTGGTTGATGTTGTGCTTTAGCTCGGTGTTATGACTCCCTGGTACCACATAGAAATGTAAATACTGATTTACGTGGTTTTTTTCTCCTTGCTAAACTGAGCTCCTTCAGGGAAGCTGCTCTTTCATCTCTATATAATCCCACCTTCATGCTCAATAAATGTTTGCCGAATGAAGGGATAAAGTACCTCTTCTTTTCTGCAGCATTAAGCAAAGGCACTTGGTCACTCTTTCTGGGAAGGTGAGAGGAGATGTTGTTTGTTTTGAGGTCATGCTTAAAACTGGTTTAGTTTCCAGTCTTTTACCAGTTTTGCTTTGTTCCCATGAACCTATCTCACCATTGCCTGGAGCATAGTTGCTTTCACTCTTTATCATCTTTTTTTAGTAACTACTTCCTTAAGGGCATGTGGTATATTTCTTGGGAATTTTTATGCCTCATTAAATCCCTGATTCAGCTCCCACATTTTTAGTAGATTGCAATGTGTAAGTCTGTTCTTTCCTTCTAGGTGAACCTGTTATTCTAAACTCCTCTATGCAAATGCGTTTTACAGGAAAAGGGAAACCGGTTTGAGAGGCCAGTTTGGAAGTTGCTGAACTCCCAGGGTAGTTAATGGATGGTCTTTTTTATTTTTTGTTTTCTCTTACATCTCAGCCAGCAGTTTTGAGAGAGGAGCTCTGTAACTTGCCCAAGACAATCATGCTTGGCTGTAAATTGAGGCAAAATTTGAGGAAGGGCTTTACCCTTTGCATTACTCTTTTAATCTAGAAAAGGTAAGAATATAGTGTAGTGAAGGGAAGATTAAGTCTTTCCTTAAGTGTAGTGGAAAGTCCTCCCTTGTGAAGAGAGCTACCAGTGATACCAGCTGCTGGCAGGAAGAAGCTTTGAGGGTGACTGCAGCAAGAGACTTGCAACCTTCAGTCACCAAAGCTAGAGACCATGCCTGGGGCTTTTTGACAGCAGCAGGATCCTGTGTGAGAGAGAGTAAAGGTTCTCCTCCAAGCAGAAGAAAGGAAGAAAAGGTTCAGTTAAACTCTGTTTATTGAAAGTTAGATATTAAAGGAAGAAAACACTAACATTGTATAAAGGAAGAAAACACAAACTTTCTACTTTAGATTTTGTATTCTCTTAAGCCAGGCTCTAATTTGCAAAACATGCTGTTTACAAGTAAGAATGAGAAAGTTTTCAGTACTTTTTACTACTCTAATAAAATGCAGTTTTAATGGAGTGCTCTTCCTGGTCTCTCTATATTATTTATTTCTTATTACACACCATCTTTCCCCTGAGAATTGACTACTGAACTCTAATAATAGGGTGTGGGACAGGGCTGCCAAAAACGAAGCATGCCTGCTGCAATTTCCACATCGTGTGTCCATAGCAGACAATGGCAGTTGATTTGGGCACTGTCTTTCGGTGTTGCTTCAGGAAACCACTGCCTGTTGATCAATCAGATTGGCCCCAGAATGAAACCACTGCCCCCCACAATCTAAGAGGAAGTAATAAGTTTTAAAAGGGTTGGCCCTATAAATGTAAACTTGTAAAGTGGGAGCTTGCCAATGCCTTGCAGAATTTTGTGAACTTTAATCTTTTCTTTCCACAACCTTGGTTCATATGCCCATTCCTTTTTACCCTCTGAACCTTCTCTTACTCCAGTGTGTTTTCCTTGAGAGGAAGTCACCAGTAGTAAACACATAGGAGTTCGAGTATTGCTATACCAGAATTATTGAATAGGGGAAGAGTACCTTATTCTGTACCACACTCCCCCCACCACCAGTATTCTGAATGTCATTAGGTTAATGTCTACAAAGACTCATGCCGTACTTTGCTCCATCCTAAATTGAAAGTTTAGAGCCACAGCCTTTTAAGTATAATTTGGGTAATTTTTTTCCTTAGATGATTTGCTGTGTATGGCATGCATTGTTAACTTGCTTACTCATAGAGTCCCAGAAAGAACTTTTTGCATTGTATCTTCATGGCATATGTCCACTGAAAAATCAAGCCTGCAGCTTTTACTATGCATTCCATGTGCTAGATCCCATAAAAGGAAGATCACCAGGGTGCTCTCAGAGGCTTTAGCAGCTATCCTAAAAAGAGTCCCTCTAGACCTTCTCAAGCCACTCACTGACAGAATACTTACTCCATCTCACAGGAGGAAGGAGTGTCAAGATCCTTTACTTGGGAAGATAGCAAAAGCAATTTGAAACTGGAAAATAGTGAATGAATCACTAGATGATTTTGATTGAAAAACAAATTCAAGTATGTTCATCATTAAGGCAGAGCTGTTATGGTCAACACAATAGCCTAAAGGTATCCGACACGTAATTTGGAACCCTTTCCCATTTCCTCAAAGTTTGACCTTGGACAAATTTGCAACCTTGGACAAGTTACAACATAACCTCTGTTATGAGCCTAATGTCTTCATCTGGTTAAGTTGGGGATTCTAAGCCCTTCACCCTCCACCCTTTACCCAACACACACACATAGGGTTCTTGTGGGGTTAAGTGTAAAGGCATATCATGATGTCTGATGATCATTTATTGTCACTGAGATACTACTTTGTGTTCACCAGTGAGGATGTAGGAAGATCTTTTTAGCTACATGTCTTTGATATATTACATATTGCCTTAAAAGGTAGATATTTTATTTTCTTCCTGTCAAATGCCAGAATGGAAAGTGCCCTTTTTCAACTATGTTCCTATTTTGGCCCCTGCTTTTTGAAAGTACTTGTGATAGAAATTAAATATTCATGCAGGTGTGGCATGCCATTTGAAGATGACACTGTCATGGGTTCTTCAATAATTATCTGGTGGTAATTTGCCCTTTGCATCTGTGGCTATCTCTGAGGGACACTGTTCTTCTGAGTTCTCCCGTTACAGTGGGAAAGCACACAGTGCCATAAAACCAGTTAACGTGTCAGAAAATTATCCCTTATGAAATTTAGTTTCTTTTGAAACTTCTTTGATGTACAAAAAGATAACGTGGGCTTACTTTACAAGTGACAAAACTATTTCACTTTCTGGTAATTCAGAAGACTTCTCAGGTCCTGAATAACTTGATTCTTTTCCTTTAAATGATTTATGGGCAGGGACAAAACAGCATATTCTGTATCTAATTATAAGGCTTCATTTTCATGAATCTCTCTCTTTTTGTTGATGGCAAATCTAGCCCTGCATTCAAGCTGTAAAGAGGAATAGCTTTATTTCACCCACTAACTGTTTACATCAGACACCATATTGGTGATTTGAGACTCAGTATTGGTATCTGTCAACTGGGGATAGCAAAACAGGCTTCATAGGAATTGGAAGATTAAGCGAGATCATGCATTAGTAATTTCATCTAGCTTCTAGCACAGACTAGCTTGTTTACTATCTTTATAGGTATTTCTGTACCTATAGAAAGAAGGCCACCGTCCCTCCCCACTCCCTTCTCTCCCCTCTGCTCCTGCCTTCTCCCATCTTATTCCCAGAAGTCCATTCCTCCTGGACAACAGGAAGGCCCTTCCCCTTCTGTTTCTATCATAAACTGCTTCTCTGTCCTTTGGTCTCTGGAGAACTGGCAGATTGACCTCATACAATCAACTAATCAGCCAAAACTTTTTCCTCAGACATGTTAACATCTTTCTGAAATAATACCACTTTGCAGTCAGCCACTACTTGCTCCCCTTTCCTTAAAGCATTTTATTTTTGTCCAGATACAGGGATTCTTAGACTCCCAGACAGATCCCTAAATAATTATACCTAGCCCAACAGGCAAAACTAATGTGTGCTATTTGAAGGCAGGGCAGTGTTGACTTTTTGGGAGAGTGGTGTTCACTTTAAGAAAATTTATTAAGCCACCCAAGATTTCTGGGCTTACTAATTTTTTAAAAAATAGGCTTTTTCCCCTTTCTGCATGTACCCTAATTCATGTGTATATTTTACTTACAAAGGGTCATATTTCATTTTTAGCTGAGAAAGTCTTTCATGAAATAAAACATGGAAGCATTTTTAAGCCTTTAGGGTGATGTGGGTTAGAGTTATTTATAAGCTGTTTGATCATACACTTATGTATGTGGTCTGTGGTTGTTCCACTTAACTTGCTATTGATTGCATTTTGGTAAAAATGAAAATTTATCCCAGGGTGGTAATTATTATGGTTTGAAAAATACGCTTTCTTGCTTCTTTATCTTTTTTATATTGTCAGTTAGCAGTTATTTACCTAAATTGAGAGGAGATAATTTATAAAGGTCCATGGTTTTAAAACTCATGTTATACCATCAGATGCATTTGGTGTGCAGTTTTTTTATTGGCATTGGATTTGCATGCTTGTTTCTGCTTGGCGTTGTCTAATAGAAGTGTACTCTGAATACCATGACAGCCAGAAATTAGTTGGGAATTGGTGAAATAATGCTTTTTTTTTCCTATGTATACGTAACAAGAAGTGAATAATAGTTAACTTGGATTTTAGTTTTTTTTCTTATAAGCAGCTCATTGCACAAAGAATGCACTTTAATTTACTTATTACTTCTTCTAGATTGGAAAGAAGACTGATGAAGAAAAATAACAGCATGATTCAGGTAAACTGATTTTTAAATTATTTACCTTTTATGCTTAATTTGTATTTTCTGTGTTCTCCCAATGAGAGGATCTAAACAAACAATTTTTGTGGGCAATTGGAATATATAAGGAATATCTTGGGGATATAGATGAAATAGTCAAATACATATTACCATTTAATTAATTTAGTTATGTACATATTTTGAACAAGTATGTATTTATACAAAATGGGATATTATAACTAATGCTTTTTTCCTACCCCAGAATAATTTTCTTCCAACTCTTTACATACATATCTGACATCAGTGTCTTCATTATTTGAGTCACATTTTTTAAGCATTCAATATTATTTTCCACAGCCTGTTATCATTTTAGGTGTTTGCAGTACAGCACTTTTGGAGTCTATGTATGGCACTCTATTTGGAAATTTTATCCCAAGCCACAAGTAATCATTTGCATAATGTTAGGACAGTTGCTGTTTTCATTCTTTCTGTGTAGATGAACATTGAAGATCTCTACTGTGTAACAATTTGTAGAACTGCTTTCTTAAGTCTTTCTCCCTTCCTCCCTCCTTTCCTTCCTTCCTTCTTTCCTTTCATTTATTTATTTTATTTGTTTAGAGGTAATTGCATGTATATTGTTTAAGAATTCAAATAGTACTCTAATAGCCATTCTTTGTTCTTTTTATACTCTTATTGCCCCTTTGCCTAAAGATAGCCCTTTTCAATCCTTTTAGTTGTATTTTCCAGTATTTGTCTACCTATTTCTAAACAACACATCATATGCTCTAAGTGCCATTTACTGATTCCTTTTAAAATCTTAGACTTATGCATTGATTTCCTGCCGGGGAGTTCTCTCTCATAGACCACCCTTTACCCTTACTACATACCTACTTTTCCTGTCTCTTTATTTTCTTGATGCAGTCATTGTTACAGTCTATATTTAGATAAGTATTAATGTCTACTTTATTATTTTTTTTGTGGCTGAGCTCTGTGATATAAGTTGAGATGTCTCAAGTCATTCTGCCTCCAAGTTGGTTGTTTGTGAACTGTTTTTTTTTTGTCTCTGGAAAATGTTTCATGCTTTTCTTTATGCCCAGAATTCTGCAGTTTCATATTGGGACACTTTTTGTTGTTTTTGTCCTCTCAGCTTGGAAACTGATGTCTCTCAATTTGTAAATTTTCTTGTACTATTTCTTTGATAATTTCCCCCCCATTCTCTCTTTTCTTAGTCTGTTAGTTGGGTATTTTCACCTACTAGTTTGATCTCTAATTTTCTTAAGTCTTACTCTTAGCTATTTTCCATCTTTCTGTGTTTTTCTTCAACTTTCTGAGAGGTTTTCTTAGTATCAATTGAATTTTTAATTTCTGCTAGCAGGTTTGTAATTTTGAACTTAATTTTTGAGGGTCTATGGATATTTTGTTTTTAAAATTAGGATCCTGTTTTTGTTTGATAGATGCAATATTTTCTCATTTTTTTTTGAGAATATGAATTGAATTATTTTGCTGTTTTTTGCTGTTCTTTGCACATTTTCCTGTGTGTTCCCTTTATCTTCTTGTTTTGATCCCTGATTTTAATGTTAAAGGCTCTTCCCAAATGAGTGCTGGGGATTTAGTTGTCTGTTCATACTTAAGAGTGAGACAATACAAAATGGACCGCAAATTTGTTACGTGGTTGGCTTCACTCTAAGGTCTTTGGGCAGAGACCTTACTGGCCATTTCAGTGGGTGATTATCATGTATCAAAATCTGCAGATTTTTTTCCTTGGACCTTTCAGTTTCTCCAAAATGGAATTCTTTGTTTACTTTTTTTGTGGAGTGTAAGCCTACCTATGAGGATTAAGGGGCACCACAGAGGAGTGAGGAGGAAGGGAGCCAGAGATCTCACCATCCAAGCCTGAGAATGCCTAGATCCAATGCTTTCGTTTCAGCCTTATCTGGAGTCTAGGTTTGAAGTGTTGCTGTATCATTTTCTCCAGAGGGCAAACTGCCCCTTCTTATAGGAGTAGGGATGGTTTGTTTGGCTCTACCAGGTGAGGGAGAGGATCTGGGGTTCTAACTCCCTCCCTCTCTCCCTTCTTCCCTCCCTCCTCCCCTTCTTTGTTCCACACAAATTTATCATCTTACAGTTTTGTGGGTCAGAAGACTGATGCAGGTCTCACTGGGCTAAAATCAACGGGCCAGGCGCAGTGGCTCATGCCTGTAAACACAGCACTTTGGGAGGCCAAGGCGGGCAAATCACTTGAAGTCAGGAGTTCAAGACCAGCCTGGCCAACATGGCGAAACCCCGTCTCTACCAAAAAATACAAAAATTAGCCAGATGTGGTGGTGGATGCCTGTAGTCCCAGCTACTCAGGAGGCTGAGGCATGAGAATCATTTGAACCCTGGAGGCAGAGGTTGCAGTGAGCAGGGATTGTGCCACTGCACTCCAGCCTGGGCGACAGAGAGACCCTGTAGCAAAACAAAACAGGTGTCCACAGGCTGCACTCTTTTCCAGAGGCTCTGGGGGAGAGTACCTTTCCTTGTTCTTATTTTTTAGCTTCTAGCTGCTGGCTGCATTTCTTGGCTCCTGGCCCTTTTCCATCTTTAAAGTCAGCAGTGGTCAAATGGTCTCACATTGCATTACTCTGACTTCCTTTTCTGTCTACCACTTCCACTTTTAAGGACCCTGGTAATTACATTAGGCCCATTCAGATAATCCAGGATAATCTCTTGTTTGTTTTTATTGTGGTAAAAAACACATAATATAAAATATAACCATTTTAAGTGTACAGTAGTGTTAACTATGTACACATTGTTGTGCAAAAGCTCTCTAGAACATTTTATGTTGCAAAACTGAAACTCTATACCCATTGAACAGCAACACTCCTTTATCCTGCCTGCCCAGCCTCTGGCAACTACGAACCACCTTACGAACCACCTTCTGTTTCTGTAAATGTGGCTACTTTAAATACCTCATATAAGTGGAATCATGTAATATTTGTCTTTTTGTGACTGACTTGTTTTACTTTGCATAATGTCCTCAGGGTTCATCCATGTTGCAGTATATAAGAAGATTTCCTTCTTTTTAAGGTTGAATAATATTCCATTGTATGTATATACCATGTTTTCTTTATTCATCTGCCATTGGATGTGTGGGTTGCGTCCACCTCTTAACTATTGTGAGTAGTGCTTAAGTGAACAGGGGTCTGCAAATATCTTTTCAAGACCCTGCTTTCAATTCTTTCAGATGCATACCAGAAGTGAGCTTACTGGATCATATAGTAGTTCTATTCTTAATGTTTTCAGGAACTGCCAGACTTTATTCCATAGTGGATGTACGATTTGACATTCCCACCAACAGTGTACCAATATTCCGATCAACTTCTCCACATCTTTGCCAACACTTGCTATTTTCTATTTTTGTTTTTGATAGTGGTCATTCTAATGGGTGTGAGATGATATCTCATTGTGGTTTTGATTTGCATTTTCCTGATGATTAGGGATGTTAAGCATCTTTTCATGTACTTATTGACCATTTGTATATCTTCTTTGGAGAAATGTCCATTCAAGTCCTTTGCCAATTTTTAATTATTATTTAGCTTTTTGTTGTTGAATTGTGGGCATTCTTTATATATTCTGGATATTAACACTTTGTCAGATATATGGTTTACAAATATTTTCTGTGGGTTGCCCTTTCACTTGGTTGATTACTTCCTTTAGTTTTTAAGTTTGATGTAGTCCCATTTGCTTATTTTGTGTTTCCTTTTTACCTGTGTTTTTGATGTAATATCCAAAAAATCATTGCCAACTCCAATGTCATGAAGCATTTCCTCTATGTATTTTTTTTTCTTTTTGCTAGGAATTTTATAGTTTCAGGTCTTAATTTTAGGTGTTTAGTCCATCTTGAGTTAACTTTAATTTATGGTGTGGGGTAAGGGTCTTTTTTTTTAATACACACTTCACCACCCCCATCTTTTCAGTCTTCCCCACTCCCCTTCTGAGGAACCAGAAGCTCCATCATTTCCTAAGCATTTCTGTCACAGTCAGCTGGCTTTTTGCTTCACAGGCAGGGAGGTTCCCACCAGCTCTGCTCGACTCCACAGTCATCTCCGCTTTCCAGACATCAGTGATGCCTATTGTTTGCTCTAATATAGTTTTCTATTCTTTTTGTCCTTATGGATTTATATCTTTTTTCGTTTTTACTAACATTTTGATGGGCATTTAGAAGGAAGCAGAGATAAATAGGCCTATTCCATTGGCCATCTATAACCCCCAAATCTGTATTGCTCTTTAAAATAATATTTAAAAGGACTTTATAAAATGGTTTCTCATATTTCCTATTGTGACATCCAACCTCTAGAAATAATTGTTTCTATTTCTTTGCTTCCTTCTTGTTAGCCAGTTTCTGTCAAGTGACCCATAAGCATCGAAAGCTAGCATTAAGTGTACTTGTTACATTATTTCATTATTCAAAATAGACTGAGATTATTGTCTGTAATATGAGACCTGGTAAGGTTTTGAATTTAAGATGATACTCTCTTTCCTGAGGTATAATCTTTTTTAAGCTTTTGACTTTATCTTTGGGTTTATAAACCATATGTTGGTATTAGGAGATGGTGCCCTTTTATATAAATATATTTTACTTCAAAGCTTTATTAATTTTCTTTTTGAGACAGGGTCTCACTCTGGCACCCAGGCTGGAGTGCAGTGACACAATCAGCTCACTGCAGCCTCAACCTCCTGGGCTCAAGTGATTCTCCTGCCTCATCCTCCCAAGTAGCTGAGAATACAGGCACACACCACTGTGCATTGTTATTTTTTTTTCTTTTTGTAGATATGAGGTCTCGTTTTGTTGCCTAGGCTAGTGCTGCAATTATAGGCATGAGCCACCATGCCCGGCCTGAAACTTTAATTGAATACTTTTAAGCTAATGTAATGGCAAAAGAGTCCTAGTTTTTGTTTGTTTTATTTTATTGCTGTTTCAGTTGATAACTGCTTTCTTTGTACCTATGTTTGATTATTTACAGATGTAGCACCATTTCTTACAGATAGAATAAAGTATGATTAAAAGTTGGGAGGGTACGGAGGGATGCCTGGTCCTAAGTAAGTCCTTGGGACTATTGAGAGTAGTGGATTGTTTTGTTCTATAAGAATTGTTTCTTTATAGAATTAAGCCTGTTAGTTGGCTCAAGGTATCAGCTCTCCGGCTTGACAGCTGGAGAGCACCTATGATTTTTATCCTGGGGTCCAGGGATAGCTTTAAGGAGTTAACGATTGTCCTGAGATTTAAGTGGGGAGGGATAGAACAGGCTTAGTTTTCATCAGATACTCAATACTGCAGGGCTTATATGATCCTGAAAAGGGTTGAGAGCCTACTTCTTATAGATTATCACAGGAAAAAAAAGAAAATGTTACTGATGAAATTAAATATGATCGAACTAAAATATACTACCTTTCTGACTACCATTAGATTCTATATTCTTTCACATATAAGTACAAATTACTACAAATGAGGCACTAAATGAACAGCCCTCTTTGTTCTTTAATACAAGACATTATCTCTAGCTTCCTGATTATGCTACCAGGAAATGTGTACCATTTACACATATATAACTATAAAAGCTGTTACTTATGAGGGTAATGTTTTGGCCCCAGAGAGATCATGACACTTTTATAAATCAGCTTGTAAAAATGATAACTCAGTAGTTACCTTTGTTTTCAGTTTGAAGCTGAAACTTCAAACTTATACTTAATTTATGATAATCAGTTATTTGTTGGCAACTAAAAATAGTAGATAAATATATAAAAGGAGAAACACCTTTTATAGTTATAGGCCTAAGACTTAACTTTTAATTAGAAAAGATGGAGTAAGCTTTATATTATATGTATATATTATACTACTGTAAAAAATACAACAATTAAAAAGCTAGAAAAGAAAGAAAAAATGGGAGGAGGTAAGGAAGGTTCATTGTGAATTCTTTGTTTCCAAGTTTATAAGTACTTTAATCCTTTTATTTATAGTGAGCTGGACTGAATTTACACAATCTCTCTCAGCTTTAGAATTTTGTGATTCCGTTTTGAAGTGCTTAAACTGAAACTGCTTCTCTGTCCCAGGCACACCATTGAGTTCTTTGGGATGCCCGAAAGTGTCTGGTTGGGAAACATGAAATAGAAGACGAGAACCTGCCTCAGCAAGCGTACCTGAGAATACTTTTAAAGGAACCTGTTGATAAATGCAAAACAGTGGCTGTTGCAGGTATGTATTGACGGAGAACTTGGATTGAACCTGATGTGGCCCACTCTGCTCTACTCAGTCAAGTGGAGTCATTCTCTGGGAATGAGCTCTTGTCTTGAATCCCACTGTTCATAGGACAGAACTCTCAGGCCTGAAATACCTGGTGTCTGTCTTTCTGTAACCTTGACTGTGTGGTGGGATATCACTCGTCACTCTTTGATGAACTCTGATTCAGACCCTTGAGTGTCCTTCCCAATGCCTCAAGGACATTAGACTCTTGTCACATGAAAGTGATAGCAAATTTCTAGCTAAAGACCTCATTGCCTTCTTTCCTGGGAGTAGAGCAGTCAATGTCAAAGCTCAGCAAATGTGTCTCATAAACCAGCTGTTACTGGCTTTACTTTTCCCTGAACATCATCAAGGCCATTTCTGATTGGATGTGGTTGTATCAGATTGACCAGTTCCCTCTTAGTCATTTACTTTGACCTGCTTGTCTCTTTGACCCCTATTAAATGTTTACCTCATTTTCTTGTTTTTTTAGCCTTTAATTTTTATCTCCTCAACAATGTATCATCAAGATCAGGGGCACCCATTATTTCATATCCTGTGACCTTTGGTGGATGTCTGGCTTTGGATGCACTGGCTCTCTTTGTAAGGCACAGCCTGTGTTATTGTCATATGTCACCGTGATCCTTTAGGATTTTTGTAGTCTTTTTTTTTTTCCATCTACCAATGAAGAACACTACAAATGTACCTTGTGCTGAGTAATTTATGTGTCTTTGTCACACCATCATGAAAGCATTAAGCAAGTCCCATTTTGCAGATGAGGAAATAAGGTTCCAAGTGGTTAAACAACTTGCCTGCTATTCCCAGAGAGTAAGTGGCAGGAATGGGATTCAGCACTGAGTCTGTCTTGAATTGTGTACCATAGAAATAGTATGCCCTGCTGTATTCCCTTTTTGAAGCAGAGTTTTAAAAATATTCTTATTCAGCTGGGCGTGGTGGCTCACGCCTGTAATCCCAGCACTTTGGGAGACCAAGGCGGGCAGATCACCTGAGGTCAGGAGTTTGAGACCAGCCTGGCCAACATGGTGAAACCCCCTCTCTACTAAAAATACAAAAATTAGCCGGGCATGGTGGCGGGTGCCTGTAGTCCCAGCTACTTGGGAGGCTGAGGCAGGAGAATCACTTGAACCCGGGAGGCGGAGGTTGCAGTGAGCTGAGATCTTGCCACTGCACTCCAGCCTGGGCAACAAGAGTGAAACTCCGTCTAAAAAAAAAATTCTTATTCTTGTGGAATTTTAGTCTTCTCTACTTTTTTCAGCTTTTGCTACTTTCCCCCCATTTTGTGGCATTTTATTTGGTTTATAATTATAACACTTAATTTGAACCATTAAAAATAAGTATTTTCAACTTTTATTATTTTTATAATATCACTGAGAATATATTATTGGTATGAGACATTATTAAAATATGCCCTCTTTCTCACATAGGCTCTGATGTCTTCACTGATTCTGTTTTCTGAGTTGATTATGAGTCTAGCATGGGAGACGGGAGTGGACTTTTATATTTCTAATATGGTCCTACTAGTACAGAGTTATTGAAGATGACATAGAAGAATGATAAGATTTTGCCAGAAATATTCTTCCATAGTTCACAAAGTTGTTTTAGAACCTGAATTCTTTAAAATATAGAACATCTATTCAAGTACTTAGTTTTGGCTCAGTGACCACTTTCAATGTGTATAGCCAGGAAGTTGCACTATATAGAAGGATATAGGTTTTAAGTTTAAGTAAGTTTAAGAGTATATGTTATCTGATTTTTTTCAATAAGGGGCTAAATAATTTGAAATTTCTATATATTTAGGCTTCTAGAATGTTCTCATTAAATTAGTAGATGTACATACTGAAAAATATTTTAAATCACCGTAAAAATCCTGAGAGATAGATGTGGTCAACCTCACTGAAAGATGAATACACTGAGGTTTATAATATTGTGAAACTTACCCAAGCTCATGTGATTACAGAATAGAGCCGGCCGGAAGCGGTGGCTCATGCCTGCAATCCCAGCACTTTGGGAGGCTGAGACGGGCAGATCACGAGGTCAGGAGATTGAGACCATCATGGCTAACACGGTGAAACCCCGTCTCTACTAAAAATACAAAAAAAAAATTAGCCGGTCATGGTGGCAGGCGCCTGTAGTCCCAGCTACTCGGGAGGCTGAGGCAGGAGAATGGCGTGAACCCGGGAGGCGGAGCTTGCAGTGAGCCGAGATTGTGCCACTGCACTCCAGCCTGGGCGACGGAGCGAGACTCCACCTCAAACAAAAAAAAAAAAAAAAAAAAAAAAAAAAAAGAGAAAAAGAAAATAGCAGAGCCAGAATTGAACTTAGATCTATTTTTCACCAGCAATGTTTCTAACAATTACATTGCCTTGCTGATTATACACAGTGATGACATTTAGATCATAAACATGTCTAAGAATTTTCTTATGTTTAGCATTCAAACAAGGGCCGTCCTAAACAGCTAAATAAGCCTCATCCTCACAGAAGCGAAAGCTTCTAGATGGGCTTGGTGTTGTTCATCAACGAGGTTTTATCAGGATAGTGGCAATTCTGGTGAATGACGGACTGAGCCCCTCTTGAGAACTGGATGTGTCTGCTTGGGCTGCATGCCATTTCCCACCCAGTGCTTACCATGCTGCTAGCAGCAATTAGGGTCGACTCACCTTAGCAGTTGCATGAGCAGCTGTTTCTTCCAAAGCAAGTTGGGACTGGAATTTGGCCATATAATCACACAGTTAAGGACAGCTCTGGCATTTATATATGAATCTCAGAATTTTAGGTACACCATTTCTTTTCCGTAAATAAAATTTCTTTCTGCTTTTAAGTGTCTTTTCCTGATTCTACATAGAAAATTTGATGAATATTTACAGCCATAAAAAAGAATGAAATCATGTCCTTTGCAGTAACATGGATGCACCTGGAGACCATTATTTTAAGCGAACTAATACAGGAACAGAAAACCAAAAAGCACACGTTCTCACTTATACGTGGTAGCTAAACATTGACTACATAAAGATGGGAACGATAGACAGTGGGGAATGCTTGAGAGAGAGGGTGGGGGAGGCATGGATTGGAAGACTAACTGTTGGGTACTGTGCTTACTACCTTGGTGATGGGATCCTTCGTACACCAAGCCTCAGCAACACACAACCTACCCGTGTAACAAACCTGCACATATATCTCCTGAACCTAAGATAAAAGTAGAAAAGAAGAAAAATGTAAAAAACATTTGCTTAAGTAAGAACAAAAAGGAAAAAAAGAAAATTTGGTAAATATTGAAAAGTTTAAACAACAAAATAAAGATTACCACTTAGATATAGCCATTGATAATATTTTGGTAAAGATGCTTCCAGTTTTTATTCCTATGAAGATGTATGCCTTTTTTAAAATGCAAACTTAAAATCTTAGTGTTTTATATCCATTTTTACTTAGCATAATTGCAACATTTTTCCTATGTGCTTAAATGTTCTTTTGCAACATACTTTTAGTGGCTATAAGTATTCCCTTTGGGTAATAGCGTCAGTGAATCCATTCTATTAGTGAACCTAATCCTCATTCAATTTAGTTAAAACCTCTCTAAAAAACAAGAACATAATTGCCACTAGTTTTCATAATGATATCCTAATGATGCTTTCAGATATGATGAGAAAATCCAGTTTCAGTCACTTCCCCTGTCACATCATGCAATGAACCTGACTTGAAGTTTCCCAGTACAAGCGCTGTGCATGACTGTAGCATGGGAAAATTCTCTTTTGACTGGGAAACTTTGAAAACCCATTTTTCTTTCTTTGAGGTGGCTTGTCTGTGACAAGTAACTTCAGTGTTTTCATACTTAGATGAAACTTCTCAAATCCTGATTTGCAGGTGATTTGGCTCTCCTAGTTGGCTTTACTACTTAACTAAACCTTTTTTCTTCTCCTAAATATTTCACATGGGCCAAACCCTGGGTCAGCAGCTACTACCTGAGGAAACCCCAGGTGTCATGAATGAGGTTGGAGAGACATGCATAATGTAGTATTAATGTGACTTTTCCTGAAACCAAAGAGTTCTGTGCTCCTAGGTATTAAAGTTATCAAACTGAGAAGTTGATTACAGCTGAAATGGGTGAACATGTAACAGAAGCACTCTACTCAGAAAAGGCTCCTGTGAAGCTAGGACTATGACTTATTATTACTTCTTGTTCTCTTAAAGACTATATTAAGTTAAATCACTATGATCCTCACCAAACCATTACTTTTCAGACATGGTTCCTTATTTCCCTTGGGATTCCATAGTGTCATGTGAGTAGGTAAGGGGTGAGGGAGGACAAAGCCTCCTTATTATCAATAATTGTCCTTATTGACAATAAGGAGGACCTCCTTATTGTCCCATCAACCAGCAGCTCTGCCTTTATATGTTTTATGTATTGAATTTCCACAAATTTTTGCTGAAAGAAAGGACTACTGCTTAAGGGAGTAAAGACTGTGAAAATCACTGGGGCATTGTAGATCCTATGGGTGGATGTAAAAGAGATGGAAAATGGACACCCAGACAGTATTACTTCCAAGTTTCCATTATGCTTGTAATTCTCCTGCAGTGACACAGTCCTTCTTGGGTTTGATATTTACCATAGGTCCTCTGGTTGGACTTCCCATAGATTAGCCTGCTTTTATGATAGTGGTTTCCATAGAGGCACCTCAGAAATGTTAGGGTTAGGAGAGATGAAAGAGTGATAGCCTTACAAGCATTGGTGGTAGAAAGTAACCTTCTAGTGATCAGAGCAGTGAGTGGTGGAAGGTATAACCTGTTAAAGGCCAACAGGAGACTGGTTTCTATATTCTCGTTCATGTGGATTACCCAGTAGGAAGATGCTCTTTCCATCAGAGTGATGTGGTGTATGAAATTCAGCCAGACAGTCTGTGAAATCTTCATTATCTATTTCTAGACTCATTTAAAACATTTTCGGTGGGCTCTCTTAAATTGAAGATTTATATTGGTGAATCACAGAACCAGCTACTCCGAATAAAAGATTTTAGTGGTTTTTGTTCCACAGCTCAGTTGACTGACTAGAGAATTTTCTCCAAAGATATTTTTAACCAGCAAAGAATGAGGAACTAACTAAAGAGTTTGCAATGGCTAATTTACAATTGGTGCCCAGAATCCTTAACCACAGTTAAAAATCTTAGCTTTATTTACCAGACAGTTGGTGCAGGGGTATCAATGTATGAAGACCTTAATGTTAATATACATTTAGTTATTCAGAGAATGAGCTTAGTCTTGAGGTGAAAACTGGAGAGAAAATTCTTGCTTTCTCCATCAGGAAAGGGGTAAATTATGACCAATTTGCAAACATAACAGGATATATTGGTGTCAAATAGGGCCTGAGCTGTTTGTATATGAACTGTGTATATGGCTACAACTGTTGGGGTGACATTCAACAAGATGTGAGTAAATGACACCCCTGGAATTGTGCAGTGCTGCAGCCCTGGGTATAGCCATTCATTCTGTTAGTCATTTATCTAGTGAATATCTCTACCTCATGCCTGGCACTTTCCTAGATACTAGAACACAATAGTGAGCAGGGCAAACAAACAAGATCATTTCTCTCATGGAACTTACAGTCCAAAAGGGGTTGGGCAGGGTCTTCAGGGAGACAAGTAATAAAGAGGGAGGTAAACAATATTTCAAATATGCTAAAAAGAAAATAGAGCATGAGTGTTTTTGGGTAGGAAAGACTATTTTAGATCAAGTCTAAAATGCATGACCTATGTTCTTGTTGGCTGTTTACTTCTTGTACTGCCTATAAGTTGGTGAATTTTTATATTCACCAGCTCTCATTAAATAATTCAGAGAAAAGGTAGGATTTCCTCCATCAAAATTGTGTTTTCTATAGCAATTAAGCTTTATCAAGTGCCACATTTCAGTGGTAAAAACTAAGACAGCTTCATTTCTTAGGTAGTTTAAGTAGAATTGTAAAATAATAATAAATTGCTGGACTGTAGCATATAAAAAGAAGTTTCCAGTTAATTCAGGGGAAAATTGTGATATATTGCTCATAAAAGTTGAAGAGAGAGAAGTTGGACTGATTACCTTAAGCATCTTAGACTCATTGTGACCCATGTTGAATGGATCACTAAGCCTCACTGATTCTTTTTTCCCCCATTTTTTCCCCTTTATATATATAATGTCCTTTTTCTCTGTTTCTTTTTGTCCCTTTTCACTACTCTATCACCACTCTAGTGAGGTCCTTTTTACCACAGGCTAGTCTATTTTAATAGCTTTTCCCTTGATATCTCTGCATCTGGTCTAGCTGATTAGTTAGTTTTTCTGATGCTACATTCATAGTTCTATTCCCTTCTTAAAAGCCTTTACTTTACTCTCCACTCACTTGAGAGTGATAAAGGCCAGACTCTTTAGCTCGACATGTGAGGCCCCCCATGATCTGTCCCCATTGTGTATTTCTAACCATATCCCTGCTTTTACCCAGTGCAAACTTTAGGCTCTACCCAGACTCTCTATTCCCCTTTCTGTTGTGCTTTTGGTCAAGCTGCTATCTGGAAAACTCATTTCTTTCTTTCTTTCTTTTTTTTTTTTTTTTTTTGCCTATGTAAATTAATGTTGAAAGTCTAGTATGAATAGATCATCTCTTCTTTCTTTCTGGCTGCTTTAAAGATTTTGCTTTGTTTTTAGGAGTCTGTGATTTGTTTATATCTAAGTGGGGAAACTCCTTCTCTCCCAACTTTTCCCTCCCTCTTTTTCTCCCTTTCTCCCTTCCTTCCTTCCTTCCTCCCTCCCTCCCTCCCTCCCTCCCTCCTCTCCCCTCCCTCCCTCCCTTCCTCCCTCCCTCCTTCCTCTCCCCTCCCTCCCTCCCTTCCTCCCTTCCTTCCTTCCTTCCTTCTCCCTCTGTCTCTCCCTGAGAATCTTTGGGTTTTCTGGGCCTAAATATTGCTATTAGGAATATTTTATCGTTATTTCTTAGAATAATGCCTCTTCCCCATTTTCTTTATCATTTCTTTCCGGAAATCGAAGAACACATGTTGGACTTTTTCACTCATTTTCCACATCCTTCTTTCATATTTTTGATATCATCTTCTTTATGTTAAAATTCTGGACAGTTTCTTTGGATTTGTCACTTGGTTCCCCAGTTCTTTCTTCAGCTATTTCTAATCTGCTGTTTAAGCCGTCCTTGATGACAGGGATTTTTATATTTTTAAATTTTATTTTATTTTATTTTATTTTTTATCCTACAGTTTTATCCCCAGAGCCTAGACCAAGGTGTAATACTTAGTACATAGGTGCTTAATAAATATATGTTGAATGAATTCACATGAGTTTTTTATCTTTTAATTTTTAAATACCATTTTTGCCACTTTTCAAGTCAACATGGTAGTTTTTTCAGATAAAATTTTACTCCCTTTTAAATTTCTCTTATTGAAATATATTAAATATACTTATTTTATGCTGATAATTCTAGTATTCGAAATATTTTCAGATCTGATTCATTTGCCTGTTTCTGTTGGCTCTCACTGATGGTCTCTTATTTCCTTGTATTTCTGTGATTTATTGACTGTGAACTCATTTTCCTTGGAAGTTTTATCTGTGTGAGCTGTTCAAGGCCTAGACTGAAGGTAGATTTTTCCAGAGAGTATTTATATTTGCTTCTCCCAGGTGCCTGTAGCCACTATCAATCTGGACACTCTTTACATTATATTCTCTGCCTCAGGTTTTTTGAAGCATATAGCATAAATTTAGACCACAAAACAACATAAATACTGGTTGTTGGTTATGAATTCTCAAGGGAGATTTTCCACCCCCTGAAGATGCTACGGTTAAAAAAGCAGTTCCTCTTTTGGTGTAGCAAGTTTATTTCTAATTTGCCCATATACTGAGGGTATAGTTTTGTGAAGTTCCAGTTTTACGCAGGGGTCTGTTAAACTCACCAGCTTGAGTGGTCCTGGTTTTATCTTTTCTCTCTCTTGCTCTGTACAATCATTATAATGGAAATTCAGTATTACTAGGGTTGTGGCCTTGGTGCTTTTCTACCTCCCAGCATTCTCACTCTTACTTTGTTTGGCTTCTGTGAATGTCCTACTTTATTGTCACCTCATTGGCGCATTTACAGAGATTTTATACTTCATTATGCTTCAATTATTTTCATTAAGAGAGACCAGTTTAAGGTATCTAGTGTATCATTCTTCAAAAATAGACCTATTTTGTTGTTTTGTTTTAGTATGTGCTTCTAATAGATGAGGTGGATACTCATTTACGACAGAACTCAAAAAATTATTAAAAACTTAGGTACAGCGCAGTCTCCTCTTTTAATTTAAATGTCTGCTATACACAGTCAGATTAGGTGAAGAGTGAGGTGGAGAATAACCCCTTGTAATGTGCTCTCTAAGTTGGCTGAGACTTTGATGTCTTGGAGATATTATTTATCAAAATGAGATTTATTTTTGTCCATTTGATTGTCTAGCATTTTATTATATGTATTTATAGATTAATTTTCTAATATTTTACTATATGTACTATGTATATTTTACCCTTCTAAGTAGGATTTGATTCCTAAGTAATGCTCTATGACTGAGAAATAACAAATAATAAGGAAATATTATTTGTTACATGATATCTGCCATGGGTCCATTTAATGATACCCTGAGAGAGACTCTGTAGTACCTTAGTCCTTTTACTCAGTGTTATTTCATTTGATTCTGAATGAGTGTAATATTATTTGTAAGGGCAAATAGTTGCAATTAGTAGAATATGTTAGTGATTTCAAAAAAAGAAACTAGTCTCAAGAAGATATTTTTAATGTTATGGCTTAAATGTGCAGTGTGCAGATCTGCAGTTCAGCTGACTCTGTAATTCTTCAGCACTAAATAGGGGTATATCTAGTGAGAAGCATTGCCATTTGATAGAAATATGTAACACATATGTGTGCCACTCACCTGAATGAATCACATGCTGTTATGAACTTTAGTTTTTTTTCTTCAGAATCCCATGTTATATTAATTCTGCAGAGGTGGGTCTGCTGCTCGTGTTGCTGATATAATGCAAGTAGTCCTCTCTGACCAAGCCCTCAGTCTGCATTGCCACATTAGAACCTAATTTCCTTGAACCAGCAATATATTTTGTGTGACTTAAGCTGATGAATAATTTTTAGCATGTATTATGGTATTAAGGAAATATTAAATGGAATAAATGTTGATTTAAATTGGTAGAATGCTCAAGTTTTAATGATCAGAGTAGGGATAATGGTTGCCTGGTACAGTTATGTGTTTTGAAGTTTTTGAAAGTTAGTAGTGTGTTTTAAATCTCTGCCATGAGAGGAACCAGAAACATAACATGGTAAACATGCCAACTGGATTCATAGCATCACTTGTCAGCCACATGCTAACATAAGACTACATTATGATTAGAAATTTTAAAATTAATATTTGGAGGGCTTAGAAAGCTATATTTATTATGATTGTTAAGTAGCTGTGTTTGGAAGTTTTAATTTTTTAAAATGTGTAAGCTTGACAGATCTCCACATTTAGCCATTAAAAATCATTTTTTAATAATTATAATGTTTACTTCATATTGGAAATAGTTTCTAAGGAGGAAAATAGTTTGCATCTCATGTTATAAATATTTTCAGACTTTAAAATTACTTAATCCAAAGCATCCACTATTTGTTATTTTTTGTTCAAATTTTAGAATGTAAATATAAATTCTCCTAGAGTTTTCTTTTTCTTTTAACAGTTGTTTGTATTTTTAATGTAATGAGTATATTTCTGAATATTATATCAATGATATTTTTAATAAATTGAATAAATTTAAGTTGATAAGGAAAGTTTATCAAACTAATAATTTTAAAAGGTTTATTAGGAAATTATTAAAATGAAGAAAGCTTTCTTGATGTGGATAAGTCTTTTTCTCTTTTTTGTACTGGGTTTTTTAATCTTGGGTCACTTGATAATTTTTTTATATCACATTTAAAAATGTGTTGGATATTTTTATATTAACTTCCTATATTTATTTCTTCCTGAACTATTTTGGGAAAGAAACCATAATTGAAACACAAATTAGGTAACTAATAGCTTATTTATGGAATCTTTTTCTTCTAAAATGTTTCCTTGGAAAATATTAATTATTAGTATACTCACTTATAGACTCCCATACAGTCAGAAAAGCAGTTGTCAAGAAAAATATTTGAAGGCATGATTATTGTCCCAGCATTCTCACATTCTATTCCCTTTCCCTCTGTTAAAGTGAATAAATCAAAGAAAAATAAAATTGACTTTCTTGTCTGTTTCAGTTATTGGGCCCAGTTAGGGATGGCTAACCAGGGGTGAAGGGCACATAAATAACATCCACTTGTAATCCTTAATCTGCTTTCACACTCACTCCTCTCTTCCACTTTGTTTCCTGTAAAGTATAAATTTCTTAGTCTCATCATATAGAATAACCCAGAATGATATGATTTCACTACCATGGATTTATAGAAATTATTTCTTCTTCCACATTTTTGTTGCTGAATCAACTGTCTTGTGTCATCTCTGACACTGTTATTCTCATTATTAAAAAAAATTCTATTAATGGTTTCATATAGTCTTTTCTCTAAAGATAATATTAACTAAGTGCCTTTTATATTCTAAGGTCTTTATTTACATAATCTTGAATGAAGCCCTGGAATCTTGCAGGGACCTTCATTATCTTACTTCATTCTGTGGATTTTTAGTGACACTTCCATTTTCTAGGCCCTCCTTTAGACATTTTAGGCAGTGAGCAAAATTGACAAGTAGAAAAAAAAAAGAACAACCAACACGTGTATTATGGAGCTAATAGTCTAGTGGGAGAAAGATGACAAACTAGATGAATAAGGAAAATACATGTATGCTAAGTGGTGATCAGGGTTATCACTGATAACCTGTTGGATCAGAGGCTATGGCAAAAAATAAAGAAGAGAAGTGGATGGGGAGTGTAAGTCTAATTGGGGCATGTGTGTACACACACACACACACACACACACGTGCACACACTATTTGTAGAGAAGCCAGGAAGCCCTCATTGAGAAGGCAACATCTAAGTAAGGACATGAAGAAAGTGGAGGGGTGAGCCTGCTGTATCGGGGCAAGACCATCCTAGGAAAGAGTAGTTCAGGGTTAAGTACAGAGCCCTTGATACTTTTTTTATTTTGCAGGAAAGTGGAGCTCAGCCTTGTCTAAGACTACATAGTTCATAAGCACTGGACCTCTTGTTCAGACTCAGATCTGTCATAATCAAAGCCCTGCACTCCCTCCACCACCCCAGGTTACTCTAAAAGGAAATCATTGTTCATCTTAGGAAGCTTTCCAATTCCTAGCAGAATGTGTTATACATTGTGAACACTGAGGATTTAACCATATCTGTTCTCAAGCAAAAATAATACATAGGCAGGTAGGTAGATGGATTAGTTTTCTGTGCTCAACTAACGGAACCTCAAAATTATTACCTGGTTTTCCAGAGCTCTTAAGTTTAAGAAATAAATTTTAAGAGCTACACTTTCTGCTTTTTATTTTCTTTCTCTTTTTAAAACATATTGCTTGCTTTAAAAATTCCTCTGTTCTCATTTTATATGTGAGATTTAAAGACCTAAAAAAATTTCAATAGGTATGTAGTGGTATGTCATGTTGTCTTAATTTGCGTTTCCCTGATGATATATTATGTGGAGCCCTTTTCATATGCTTATTTTTATCCATAAGTCTTCTTTGGTGATTTCTCCATTAAGGTCTTCAGCCCATTTTTAAATCAAGTTAATTGTTTTCTTATTGTTAAGTTTTAAGAGTTCTTTGAATATTTTGGATAACAAGTCTTTATCAGTATGTCTTTTGCAAATATTTTCTCCTAGTGTGTATATGTCTTTTCATTCTTTTTTTTTTTTTTTTTTTGGCGGAGTTTCACTCTTGTTGCTCAGGCTGGAGTACAATGGCACCATGTTGGCTCACCACAACCTCCGCCTCCCGGGTTCAAATGATTCTCCTGCCTCAGCCTCCTGAGTAGCTGAGATTACAGGCATGCGCCACCACGCCCGGCTAATTTTATATTTTTAGTAGAGATGGGGTTTCTCCATGTTGGTCAGGCTGGTCTCGAACTCCCGACCTCAGGTGATTCACCCACCTCAGCCTCCCAAAGTGCTGGGATTACAGGAGTGAGTCACCGTGCCTGGCCTGTCTTTCATTCTTATTTCCCTTTTTCACAATCATTCTCTAGTGTGCAATAGAGTTTTCCAGAGGCTGTATATGGTATCACAATAGATTGACTGCAGACATTAATAAGGGAATTTGTGATTTTCTCTTAAGCCAGATATTAAAGAAAAATGTTAAAAAATATACTCTTCTTATATTGTTTTAGAAGATAAATTTTTCATTAATTTTTTTTTGAGACAAGGTCTTGCTCTGTTGCCCAGGCTCAAGTGCAGTGGAGCCATCACAGCTCACTACAGCCTCCATCCACCTCTTGGGCCCAAGTGATCCTCCTGCCTCAGCTTCCCAAACAGCTGAATATACAGTGGTGGGGACAAAAGTAGGCTCAGGAGAAAATGAAAGAGAAAGAATTTGTTTCACAGTTTGGATTCCTGAGACTGTGAATTGATCCATCCCATCTCTTCATTTTGAGGGAGTCACTACAGTTCCTGACTAGCCTTCAGATTACTTTGCACTGGAACCTATCCCAGTTGAACCAGCTGTGGAATTTGGGGGTGAAGGGTGTGAGGAAGTGGTATAGGACAAGTTGCCTAGTCTCCTTTGCTGCACATGGGATTATTTTCTTTAAAATGACTATGGACAAGAGATCTATTGTACTTCATGATGACTCCAGTAAATAACCATGTATTATATGCTTGAAAATTGATAAAAGAGTAGATTTGAAGTATTCTTACCACAAAACAGGATGTGTGAGGTAATGCATATGTTAGTTAGTTCCATTTAGCTATTCCACAATGTATATGTATTTCAAAACATGTTATACGTGATAAACATGTACAATTTTTATTTGTCAATTAAAAATAATTTAAAAAGAAGCAGAAACAATATGGGTTATATTTTTGAGCTAAGAAATATGTTTACATTGAGATAGTTAATAAAATAATTTTTTTCTTAAAATTATTGTTTCCTTCAGAAGGAATAACTGACTTTATTTTGTTTACTTCTTACATAATATTTATCAGTATTAAGTGTTACAATTTTAAAGAGGAAAGAAATGATACATTTTCCCCAAGTAAGGTTTTTACCAATTTATATTCAAGAACACTTATTTATACTTTAAGGTAATTATTTATGTATATCTCTTCCACTAGACTTAGAAGTCCTTAACAGCAGGGTGTAAAATTTAATTTTCATTTCTCTAGTGACTATCATCTTACCTGGATTATAGTAGGAATTTAGTATTTTAGAATGAATAAGACATTAGAAAATTTGGATTTGTGTTTTATAGTTTATTTTCTTTTTGAGTCTCTCTCCCTTGAATTGTTAAAAGTAACCTTTAAATTGTTAATGTGGTAAGTAAAATTAAATAAAATCTAAATGACAGATTGCTTTTAATTCTCCTTGGTTGGAACAAATGTTCAAAGACTATTTAGATAGGAAGCAGACAATAGTTTGTTTTCCTTTGCTTTGATTGGGTATATATTTCAAAAATGACATGTGTAAATTAAACACACACACCTTCTATTTTTGAGGCTTTAGAAGTTGTTCCCCAAGATAAGAAAGAAACACTTTTGACCTGTGAGAGACCATATCTCCTCCAGAACTCATTCAAATAAATTATTTTGTGATTTATTTTAAAATTTAGGTATAATTTATACAATGTACAAATTTGAAGTGAATAGTGAACCAACATCTCTATCATCCCAAAAAGTTCTCTTGTGTCCACTTTCAGTCAGGTGTGCCATCCCAGAGGCAAACACGTGTGCGAGTGTGATTCTATCAGTAGATTTTGCCTCTTTCAGAACTTCAGATATGTAGTTATACTGAGTGTGCTTATGCTCCTGGTGTCTTTTGCTCCACTTGCTGGTGTTTTATAGATTCATACTCTTACTGCATGTATCATGCTATTGAGTAGTATTCTATTGCATGAAGTTATTCACCTATTGATAGACATTTGGATGGTCTACAGTTTTTGGCTGTTATGAATATAACTACTGTGAACATTATTGTATGTCTTTTTGTGTATCGGGGGAAACCAGCCCCTGATATTCGATATGGGTCCTTTTCTATTTTCCCTAAGTGTTGGCCTGTTTGAGAAATACAGGGAAAGAATACAAAAGGGAGAAATTTTAAAGCTGGGTGTCTGGGGGAGACATCACATGTTGGCAGGTTCTGTGATGCCCAGCAAGCCGCAAAACCAGCAAGTTTTTATTAGTGATTTTCAAAAAGGGAGGGAGTGTATGAATAGGGTGTGGGTCACAGAGATCACATGCTTCACAAGGTAATAAAATATCACAAGGCAAATGGAGGCAGGGTGAGATCAGAGGACCGGGGCAAAATTAAAATTGCTAATGAAGTTTCG